>NC_000014.9:69914743-70066258 GCF_000001405.40 Homo sapiens
CTAGAAATTTGTTCTTACTTATCCCAAGTGCTGCCTGACAGTTCTGTTCTCTTCCTCTAGTCCATTCATGCTTCTGGTGTGCTGGAAGACTAGTTTACGTATTCTTTTTTCTAATTTATTTTATTCATTCATTCATTCATTCATTCATTCATTCATTCTGTTGCCCAGGCTGGAGTGCAATTGCATGATCTTGGCTCGCTGCAACCTCCGCCTCCTGGGTTCAAGTGATTCTCCTGCTTCAGCCTCCCAGGTAGCTGGAATTATAGCCGCCCACCACCACGCCCGGCTAATTTTTTGTATTTTTAGTAAAGATGGGGTTTCACCATGTTGGCCAGGCTGGTCTCCAACTCCTGACCTCAGGTGATCCACCCGCTTCAGCCTCCCAAAGTGCTGGGATTGCAGGCTTGAGCCACCGCGCCCGGCCAGTTTACACATTCTGTCCTCAAACTTCCAACACATTGGTCCTCCTTCTTCAATCTCAGCCTTGCTTCCTCTTTCACTGAGAAATCCAGGCAATGGAAGATAGTTTCTTCAGGTTACCATTACTGTATCTCTGAATCTACCCATGTCTGTGCCCTGAACCTCCTGTCACTGTGGATGAACTGCTGTTGCATCTGTACGGGGCAAACCCCTCCACTTTTGTGCTAGGTCGTATCTCGTACTTACTCAAGGACATTACTGTAGCCACTGTCTCCTGTCTTCTGTGTTACTATCCACCACCTCCCACTAGATCATTTCCTTGTTGTCAAACCTATTATAATTTCTACCTTGTCACCTTTTTATTAGCATCCCATTTCTCTGCTGTCCTTGGCAGCAAAACTCCCTATAATGGTCTATACATGCTTTCCCTGATCCCTTGTCTCTGTCTTCTCTTGAACTTACACCTCTCAGGCTTGTGTCTCCATTACGTCCCTGAAACAACTTGTCAGTGTCACCAATGACCTCCAAGCTGGCTAATGTGCAGATACAGGCAATGTTCAGACCTCATTGTACTGGGTTTTTAGCAGCTCTTGACACAGTTAATCACTGCCTCCATCATGGGACACTTTCCTCAGTTTCTGGGACATTACTTGGTTCTCTTCCTACTTGCCTAGATGCTCCCACTTAGTCTTATCTCCTGGCTCCCCCTCATCTCTCTCACCCATAAATGGTATAGTTCCTCAGGGCTCAGCCCTAGGAACACTCCCTATTCTCATTCCTTTGCTTATCTTTTCTAATTTTATGGTTTAAATAGCATCTCTATGCAGACATATCTCAAATCTATGTCTCTAGTCTGGATATAGCCATACCTACATATCTGCCTTCTTGCTCAACATCTCTATGTGGGCGTCTGATAGGCATCTGAAACCAACATGAAACCAAAAGCCCAGATTTTCCCTACCAACCTTACCAAACCCATTTACCCATTCCTCAACTCAATAAATGACAGCTCCATCTTTAGAGGTGCGACGAAACCTTCAGAGTCATCCTTGACCCTCCTCTTTCTCTCATATCCCAAATCATATCCATCAGCACATCCTAGTGATTCTACTCTAAAAATGTGTCCAGAATCTACCCGCTTCTTGCCACCTCTGCTGCTATAGCCTGGTCCAAGCCGTTAGGCTCTCTCCTCAGGATAACTGCAGTAGTTGCCACACTGGTCTTCTCTTTTCAGCCTTTGGGCTCTACCCTCTGTAAGCAGCATGGCAGCAGAGGGAGCTTTCTCAAATGTAGATCAGATCATTCACTCCTCTGCTGCCCATTTTACAGCGGCTTCCAGGCCCCATGTAATTTTCTCCTTGGCTGCCTCTCTGATCTGACCTGAAGCTGCCCTCTTTGCCCCAGCTGCTCCACCTCTTTGCTGTTCCCTGAGCACTTGGGTCCATTTCCTCCTTAGGGCCTTTGCCCTTGCTGTTCCCTCTGTGTGGAATGTTCTCTCCCTAGAAAACTGCATGGCTCACTTGTTTACTTCCTTCAGCTTTTGGTCAAATGTCACCTTCTCAGAGACTCTTTCCTGGCCAGCCTATGGGTAAGAACTGCCATCTTCACCCTCCTTACACCCTTTACATTCCCTTTGTCTTGCCTTATTTTTCTCAGCAAGGCATACCACCACCTGCTAGATTATCACGTACTTGTCAGTTGGTTCTGTCCTCCTGCTGGAATGAAAACTTCATGAGAGCCAGAAGCCCAGTGCCTAGAACAGTGCCTGAGATTTAGAACATGCTGGAAGCATGCTGAGTGGATGAATTCTCATTTCTCAGACTGACCATGCATTATAATACGGTGGTGGTTTTCATACTTTTAAACAGCAGGACAACTCTTTTTCCAAACAAATTCAGAAGGAGCCTCAATTTGTAGGACAGATAATGATATTTGATCAGCTTGAATGTATCTCATTTCATCTTGTTTTTGTTGTGTTTTTGCAAAGTGTGAGAAAATCCTGATTTACATTGCAAATGGTAACAGCTCACTTTGCAATAGCAGAATGTTCTTCAGTTAAACAGGGCTGGAACTTTGAAGGAAGGGTAGTAAGATAATTTTATTTCAAAGTGGAACATTCAGGGGTTCTTAGACAGTTGGCCCAAACACCTCGCTGACAATGCTCACGGAGCCTGTGTGCCTGAGCCCTGCCCAGCGTTTGCCTATAGTGCACATGGGCCATTGTGGTGAACTTTACTTGCTTCTAGAATTTCACGTGGACAGACATGTGTAGCTTGCATTAAAAGAAAACAAAACAAAACACGTAGAGGTACAGCTTCTTAATCAATGAATGACACATTTAGAAAACATTTAAATAAACATACAGTGTGATGGCCTGGGAGAAGCTTTGTTAGTAAGTGTTGTGTAAATACCTTGAGAACACAAGACAGTGTGTGTGCTGGCGGTCTTCAGCGGGTTACACTTCGGATGGTAACACATCGGTTGTTCATTTAACAATAGTTTTAAAAATAGTCATGCTGTTCTTTTCCTCTTTCTTCACCTTCTTTTCAAAAATGGCAAACATTGTTTTTCAGGTTTCTATATGAACAAAATCTGCTGAGGGGCTTGCAGCAGGCCAGTGATCTTTGGTGTCTTTCCAAAGGGCCTTTAGGGATGATTCCAAAGACAGTTTCTAGTCACATAGTGGACACACCATTAATGAATGTTGGATGCTGAGTGAACACAGCAGCAGGCAGAATGGGAGGCAACACACAGTGTCCTCTTTGAAAAAAAATACAACCTGCTTCACCTCCCTTCCTGCCTCTAGTAATGTGGTCCCCAGCTCTCCATCCCTGGCCTTATTAAGGTCTAATTAACAAAAATGTATATATGCAGTGATCTATATACACATCGTGAAATGCTTAAATCAAGCTAATTAACATATCTATCATCTCACATGCTATCATCTTTTTATGGTGAGAATACTTAACATCTACTCTCTTAGTAACTTTCAAGTATACAAGACATTATAATTAACTAGAGTTGCTGTGCTGTGTAATAGGTTCCCAGAACTTACCCTATATATATATATATATTTTTTTTTTGAGACAGGGTCTCACTCTGTTGCCCAGGCTGGAGTGCAGTGGTGCAATCACGGCTTACTGCACCCTTGACCTTCTGGGCTCAGGTGATCCTCCTGCCTCCACCTCTGAGCAGCTGGGACTATAGGTGTGCACCACCATGCTTGGTTGGTTTTTCTATTTTTTGTAGAGACAGGGTTTCACCATGTTGCCCAGGCTGGTCTTGAACTCCTGAATTCAAGCAATCTGCCCACCTTGGCCTCCCCAAGTGCTAGGATTACAGGTGTGAGCCACCACGCTCGGCTGATCCTGTCTATTTTGACCATGAACCCTAGGGTCAGATTGGCTGGATTCAACTCCTGGATCCATCACTTACCAGCTGGTGACCATGGCTAAGTAACAGAACTTCCGTGTGCCTTGGTTTCTTCATCTTTGAAATCTGTAGAAGGCACTTATTTCACAGGACTGTTTTAAGGTTTAAATGGATTAACATGTTAGACACCTAGAACCTGGCAAAAAACTTGCCATTATTATTATTGTTATTATTCTGAGAGGTAACACTTTTCATAGCTGCCCAGCTGCCACAGAATATTGAGCCAAGAACAAAGCTTCTCTGTCCCTTCTGACTTGTAGTGTCCTGAAGTGCTTCAGGTAGTCCTCACAAGATCACATACAACCCAGGCAAATGGTGCAGGCAGAAGGAAATAGCCTCTTTCTATTTATGTGGGTAATGGAGAAGTGGTGATCGTGGGTTTTTTTGTTTGTTTGTTTGTTTGTTTTTGATTCCTGCTTCTCCGGAGTTTTAGCTGTGTGTATTCTTTGCTGCTGTCTCTGAGAATGCACACACTTGAGGTGGGTTTGTTGAGAAGTTCTGACTTAGGGTTACTTTTTGCAGAAGAGGGTAGAGTCTTCTTTCCCATGTGGTTGGTATTTCACATTGGGAATTCCTGTTGCTGCCTTATATAGCCAGGTCAAGCCCATAAAAGAGCTACATCAAGCAACCCTCTCATATTCTGGGACAGAGAGCATGCTCAGAAACTCAGGTATTCCCCCATGGAGATGAAAAATAAAGCCCTGGGCCGCTCTCACAGCCCCTTTCCCTCGATTTAGACTCTACCTTTCCAGCCCTGTGTCTTGTTCAGCCTGTGTTGCAGCCAAGGGGGAAGTTACTCTATTTCCCACATACACCCTGAACCTTTTCACTTCTGTACTTAAAAAATAATAGTTATAATTTAACCACTTCAATTATCACTACTAATATTTACCAAGACCTAGAATGTAGCAGGCACATGTAATATCGTAACACATCTGTGATGATTTTACAAGTTATGGACCTGCAGAAGAAATGGAGGTATTAAACTTGACAAAACCCATAATTGGTAGCCTTGTGAATGTGAAGCTGGGCCTCAAGCTTGGCCCAGTGGGACTCAGATCTCATGCTGTCAACTCACAATCATCAAAGCTGCAATGGGAGTTGGGTGGGCCTAAGATCTACAGGGAATCCTGCCTCATTCACTCTCCTGGCTGTGATGAAATCAGTGGAAACCTTCCAGAGGTAGACTTTTCAAAAAATGTATTTTAACTCTACAATTAGCCAACATAATTTTGGATAACTTATATTGGGTAAAGATTATCCAATATGAAATTAATACAACCATCTGGACTAAATCATCCTATGAACACAAATACCCCCCCCCCCCTTTCTCCCCTGGAGTAGGGATAAAAGGCACATACATTGCATCTTAACATGGAGGTAAGTGCCTGCCATCATCCATTAGTCTCCTGGGAGGCATGGATGCATGCTCTCTCTCCTTGGCAGTTGCCTAGGCTGTTGCTATGGACTGGATTTAGTAAAGGGATGTCTTCAGAGCAAGGCCCAGAGCCTCTATCAGGAACTGGATCTTCAGACAGAAGGACAGCATGTGCCCCTGCACTCGGGACAAAAGCCAATGAAGCCCAAAAGCTTAGAGCCCCTTCTATTTGGCAGTAGAAAACTCCTTCTGTGATCTCTAGGTCTTTGCTATGGCTGACCTTGTAAGAATGAGTGAACCCCAAAATGTGATCCTAGATATGATTAGAGCCAGTGCTGGATGTATTACTGCCGTTTACCTCTGTAGGTTTTATGGACATGTAAATTAGGCAGTGCAGATGAGATGTGGGGCTCTTCCTGGCAGCAGACAGCCCTCATATTATTATTAAGGGGCTATTGCTAGAACTAGGACGTAGAATCATAATTTATGTGCTCATACATCTCAACAGGTTCCTGTCATATTCAAATGGCTCTGTCCTCCCCAATTGTCATGGTTCTGTCCTCCCATCCCAATGCAAACATTCCTTCAGCACACTTATTTTGAGCTTCTGTTCTGTGCCAGACACAGCGCCAGGTAAGGATACAACGACAACTGCAAAAACAGTTGCTGCCATCATGGAGTTTACAGTCTGGTGGGGGGGAGGCAATAAAATAATCATGCAAATAAAATAAAACTTTACGTGGGATAAGAGCTACAAAGGAGATCTGCTTTGCCTGGGGCTTTGTCTGGAAGGTCAGAGAGGGCTGGCTTGAGGATTCCATGCCTGAGGTATGGTCTGGAGGAAGAGGACTTGCCCAGTGAAGAGGGAGGGAGGCGTTCTAGGCAGAGGGCACAGCACAGTGAAAGGCCTGGTGGCTGGAGGTGAAATTCTTCTCATTGTTTAAACTAGTTCACAGTAACTGTAAGATGGGGAACCCTGCTCTGTGCTCCTTAGTCCTGGATTTCTTAGGGTGCAAAAACTGCCTGGTCCCTCACTCCATTCCTTGTGGGTGAGGACCCATAGTTGGTCGCCCAAAGCCCATGGTCCTCCTGGGTGTCCTGAGAGCTTCTCAGAGCACCTGGGCCGCGAACCTTCTCTCGCACAGACTTCCCGCTGCAGGGCTGGCCAGATGCCTCCTGAGCATCGCCTCGGCTGTGACTCACAGCCCAGGGAGGCCATGGTCAGAGTGAGCTAGACTCCACAGCCCCCAGCGCCGCAGACTTCTGCCTTGGTCATTACATCATGGGCAAGATCTTGCAGGCTGGTGGAGAGACAGAGTGCCTGGGGAGGGCCTGACCAACCCCTTATGTCTCACGCAGTAGGCCTGGACCTTCCCAGGGGAGGCTGTTAGGACATGAGGCTCACAGACTGCACTGGTTTTCATTTCCACTGACTCACTATAAAATTGAATGTTGAGTTCTTCCCTATTCTGGGCCAAGTTTTTCAGCAGGGCAGAAGGGGACATCAATTCATTCAACAAACAGTTGTTGTACATCCCTGATGTGTCACATGCTGAGTCCTGGGGCTCTGGGTCCTGGGGCCTCACAGGTGAGTAGACTAGTCTGCAAGAGGCGTGAAAGAAATGCCTGGTCTGTGTGGGGTTTTGTATTCTGGGGAGGGTGAGGGCTGACATAAACCTTAGGAGAATCTTATGAGTCTTCCATTTTTTAACATAAGAGCATTCCCAGGGCCTGGGCTGGGCCCTAACTTGGGTGGTTTCACTGCATCGTTCAGCTGGAGAACAAACCAATGCTTCTTATGTGTTCCTTTCCTTTTATAAAATGGCTCAGAGGGTCTGGAAGTAACTGGTGTTTTGCAATGGGAACCAGAAACAGCAGGTTAGGAATCAAGATGGAGAAAGGTACCCGAGGGAAGGGGCCCCCTTTCCACCCCTGGACCCCTGAAGTGCTCTGGATGAATTGGGCTGGCTGTGATTTTGGGGTGCCTCACCTGGGTGAACTGCTCCTGCCTGCCCAACCTCCTCCCTTTCCGGGATCCAGCCATCTGTTGAGAATCAGGCAGTGCCCCAGGTCAGAGTGAGTGGGCTTCAGACTCCATTAGCTCACTGAAGAGGCAGCTCAGCGGTCATGATACAGAGCTCGGGCTTCAAAGTAGGACTGCCTGGGTTTTGGCTGTGCCATGCTGGGCTAGTAATGCAACCTCTGGAGCTTTCTCATTGGTAAAATAAAAGTGCAAATACTGCAGGCTGGGAGGATACACTGAAAAATGCACTTAATGTTCTTAGCACAGTGCCTGGCATAAAGTCAGCGAGCCCAATAAACAGTGGTGATGTTGTTATCTGCTTTTTTTGCCTCTCTTCATCATGCTTCAGGCGTAAAGGTCTTGTGCATTATTAAATGCTTGGGCACAGTACGTGCTGCTGCTTGAAGTGTTGGAGTGTGGCCCAAGGCTAGCTGAACTCTTTCTGCTACAAGAACTGGCTTTCCTGGGGAAAGTCGTGGATCAGGTTGACCTTGACTATTGCTGTCCGGTGTAATGTGTCCTCTTTGCCTTGGGTGCTCAAAATGTGGGCCACTGGCCAGCATCGTTGGCATCACTTAGAAATGCAGCCTCCAGCATCCTTCTTAGACATGCAGCACCCTGGGCCCCCTCCAGACCTAGTGAATGATAACCTGTATGCTGCCAAGATCTCTAGGTGATCATATGCACCCAAACTTTGAGAAGTGCCTCGACATTGTATCAGCTTATGGGGACAGAGCCCTAGTGTTGGGTGTGTATGGTGTGTGTGTGTGGTGTGTGTGTAGGGAAAAGGAGGGGAAGGATGAACAAATGAGATAACTGAAAACCAACAGAAGTTAACCTGTGACTTTGTGCATCCCATCTGTTGTCACATCAACTCTTATCACCTGTTGACTTCTCTTCTCCCAGGGGTGGTCCTAGAGCAGGGTCTCAGCCCTCTTTTTTTTGTTTTTTTTGTTTTTTGTTTTTTAGATGGAGTCTCGCTTTGTCGTCCAGGCTGGAGTGCAGTGGCATGATCTCGGCTCACTGCAAGCTCCGCCTCCCAGGTTCACGCCATTCTCCTGCCTCAGCCTCCCGAGTAGCTGGGACTACAGGCACCCACCACTACACCCGGCTAATTTTTTGTATTTTTTAGTAGAGACGGGGTTTCACAGTGTTAGCCAGGATGGTCTCGATCTCCTGACCTCATGATCCACCTGCCTTGGCCTCCCAAAGTGCTGGGATTACAGGCATGAGCCACTGCACCCGGCTCAGCCCTCTTTACTGTGCACCCTCCATACAAGCTCCCTCCCTGGCTCTCAGGACTGAATACATATTTGAGTAAATGCAGCAAAATTTTTTAAATTATTTAATTATTTCTACGTAAATGTGAGTTCCCTTTCATTGATTCTGAAACCCAGGCACACATAGGAATTGGGGTGGTGGGAGCACAGGGGGTAATAGCATGGACCAGAAGGAAAGAGAGACCTGTTTCGTTCCCTTTATCTCACTGGATTTTTCTTCTCAATCTCCTCTACTGCCTTGTCCTGCTCTGTTCTCTCTCAGTGCGGGACAACCCCATGCCTTCATCCTGGATCCTCTGTTGCCAGCTGTGCTCTTTCCCCAGATAATTTCATCGAGTCCCTTGGCTTTAGATCCATACCCTGGTGACTCTTACTGTATCTCTAGCCCTTACTCTAGACTCCTATGACCTGCTCTCGATTTGACATCTTCATTTAGCTGTGGTCTCAGTTGGGTTTTCTAGCTGCAGACAGTACCCAAGGCAGGGATATACCTATCCTGCCCTTTCTCCTGAGAGCACGCCCTCAATCAATCCTACGTAGGAGGGAGGCAGAATAGGGCAGGAGAAGAGGCTAAGTAAAGATGTGGTGCCTGGCAATGTCCTGCCTTGGCCTGAGCCACTGGTGGGGTGGGCAGTTGGCAGTGTAACCTCCCTAGGGTCCCCTGGTCGGGCTGCCTTCACCAAGGCAGTTCTCTAGAGAGAAGATTCACAGTACTTTCAGCAACTGAACTGCACCAACCAGAAAAAGGGGATCTCAGTGGAACGTCAACAGCATCCGCTACAGATATCCAAGAAGCCTCTAGAATTTAATATGCCTCTGGTTGCTCTTCCCTCACAAACTGAGTCCTCCCACAGACTTTCCTGTCTCAGCAAATGGCAACTCCGCATCACCCATGCACTCAGGCCCCAGCCTAGAGATCACTCTTGGTCCTTCCTTCCCTCAGCTCCTGCATCTGGTCCATCGGCAGATCCTGTTGACCTCACCTCCCAAATGCATTGGCTGCATGCACACTGTCTGCACTGCTGTCTCTCCAGAAAGCTAATTAACATATGCGTGACCTCATATACTTGTCATTTTTTGTGGTGAGAACATTTACAATCTACTCAGCCCTGGAAATCACTGGTCTATACTTCCCATTCCTTTTGTGATCCTTCTTCACACAGCAGCTGGGTTGAACCTCTTTAGAAGTGGATATCGAATCCCACATTCCGTAATGGGAAACCCTCCAGTGCCCTCTTATGGCACCCGGGAATAAAATTCAGACTCCTCACCATGGCCTGGGTGGAATCCTACATGATCTGACCTCTGCCTCTCTCCCCTCCCCCACATTCTTCTGCCTGTCTTGTACAGGGGAGGTAGAGGAGTTAGGGAGGTAGGGGAGGTAGGGGAGCTAGGGAAGGTAAGGGAGAGGGGAGGTAAGGGAGCTAGGGGAGGTAGGAGAGGTAGGGGAGGAGGAGAGGTAGGGGAAGTAGGGGAGGTAAGGGAGGTAGGGGAGGTAGGGGAGGTAAGGGAGGTAGGGGAGGTAGGGGAGCTAGGGGAGGTAAAGGAGGAGGAGAGGTAGGGGAGGTAGGGGAGCTAGGGGAGGCAGGGGAGCTAGGGGAGCTAGGGGAGGTAGGAGAGGTAGGGGAGGAGGAGAGGTAGGGGAAGTAGGGGAGGTAAGGGAGGTAGGGGAGGTAGGGGAGCTAGGGGAGGTAGAGGAGGAGGAGAGGTAGGGGAGGTAGGGGAGGTAGGGGAGGTAGGGGAGCTGGGGGGAGAGGAGCTAGAGAAGGAGGGGAGGTAGGGGAGGAGTGAGAGTAGGGGAGCTAGGAGAGGTAGGGGAGGTAGGGGAGCTGGGGGGAGAGGAGCTAGAGAAGGAGGGGAGGTAGGGGAGGAGTGAGAGTAGGGGAGCTAGGAGAGGTAGGGGAGGTAGGGGAGCTGGGTGGGAGGGGAGCTAGAGGAGGAGGGATGCTAAGGGAGGAGGGGAAGCAGGGGAGGAGGGGAGGTAGGGGAGGAAAAGAGGTAGGGGAGCTAGGGGAGGTAGGGGAGGTAAGATGTGACTCTCACATGTGTGTCCATCTTTTTTCCTTTAGTAGATTGGAGGGCTCTTGAGGGGAGGAACCATGATTGTCCCTAGATTTTGTGTGGGCAGCACCCAAGGTTGACATTCAAGTGTGTGCTCAAATGTCACCTCCTCCCCTAGAGTCTCTTTGCAATCACAGGATCCAGTCCCTTGCTGTGCTGTCACCCCATTTTATTTTCTTCAGAGCACAGATTACCACCCGACATTGTTTTATCCATTTATGTGTGTGCTTGTCCCGATCCCCTTAAATGTAGAGCCCACGGGGCCGGGGCTTGTGTGTCTTACTCCCTGTGTCTCCGTCTCCGGCACTAAGAACAGTGCTGGGCACATAGTAGGTTCAAATATTTGTTGGCTGAAAGACTGAACACTGGAGGAAGCAAACAAAGAGATGTGAATCAGGGCTGCTGGCTCTCTGGAACCTGGAGGGGTTCACTGTAGACCAGGTAGTCTCCATCCAGCAAGTTCATTGTAGGTTAGAGGTTGTTCTTTTTCCAATTTTCTTATCAGAATGGGCAGAGCAGGAAATCAAACCCTGTTTCTTGCTTATATCTCAGACCACCACGAAAGACAGACACATCTGGAGAAGACTGCGCACACCCTGGAGAGGAGTCTTAGCTCTTCCTGCCCCCCACTCTCCCGCAGAGACTTACTCAGCTCCCCTCAGGAACTCTCTGTCACCGAGGCCCAAGGAGCTGGTTAATATCAGAAGCCATTTTTTTTTTTTCAGTCTCCTGAATTGGCTCCTGACTTGGTATTACCAAAATCCTGACAAAGTCTGCGAGTTGCATGTCCAGGGAACAGACACAAATTATGTCCTCTCCTGGATGATGACTTTGTTTGAAGAACAAGAAGCAGGATTTTCCTGATTGGAGATTCTGAGGGCAGTGATGAAGTTAAGCCACTCAGATCTCTGAATTGTGTTCCGATTTTGGCAAGTTTTGCAAGGAGAAGGCTCAATACCAGGGCCAATCAATCAGCTGCCACCAGCTGGATTGGATTTTTGCATTTAATTTGGTACCAAGGGACCAGGGAGGAGTAAGCCTCTCTGGGTTCAAGCTTTGGGTTAGGCCATGGGGCGGGACAGACTGCCAGTCCCGTAAACTTTCAGAGCTGGGGAAGGAAAAGTGGAAAAATTAGTGTTTAAAGGGCCAGGCGGCAGATGCAGGAGAGGTTTGGATTCCTTCTCCTGCTAAAGCGCTTCTCTCTTGTGGCCTCAGGTCCTAGGGGCTCTGCAGAGGATCAAGTGGTCTTTTGTTCAGTGGCAGCAGAACCCCAGTTTCTGTCCTGTGGCCAGCTCCTCTGACCAATCCTGTCAAATTGCTGCGAAACCACGTTCCTTCCCTCACACTCTCTGCTCCTCACTGGGGCCCCATCAGGGATGAAGCTTGCTGGCTCCCTGTTGTAGCCAAATGGCACATAGGCTCCAAAGAGCCATAATTGGGTGTGGAATGGTGAAAAGTATGTTGGAGTCAGCAGACCTCATTGAAAGCCATGTTTTAGCACTTCTTTACATGGTGACCTTGAGGAAGTCACTTGACCTCTCTGAACCTCAGTTAATTTGCCCAGGATTGCTTATAGGTTGCTGTGAAAACCTGGATGTGGTGATGATGATGATGATGACAACAGTGGCTCACATTAACTGAGTACTCAACCCGTGCCAGGCCCAATTCTAAATTCTTCATGTGTCTTCACTCGCACTTCACTTTGCTTAGAACATCCTTATGTGGTGGTTCCGTTATCATGCCATTTTACAGATGTGGGAACTGAGGCACAGAGAAGCTAAACAACATGCCCAAGGGCAAAAACTAGAGCTAAGGATTTATTGAGGTAACATGTGTAGAACATGCTTCATGTCGTGCTGACTGACTTCCAGTTGTTGCAGCATGCAAGGAGGCTTCAAAAAGTCTGGGCTTTGGGTTTGGTTTTGCAGGTCATCAACTTCTGAGCATTGGCTGTGTGTCTGTGCTGGGGCCTACAAGTGCTGGACAGGAAAGGCTTTATAATTGCTTGAGAATGTGAGGGGATGGAGGATAGGGAGTAGGGCTAAATAAGATGGTAGGAGGAGCCGGGCGTGGTGGCTCACACCTGTAATCCCAGCACTTTGAGGGGCCAAGGCGGGCAGATTGCTTGAGCTCAGGAGTTTGAGACCAGCCTGGGCACATGAAAACCTGTCTCTGGCTAATACAAAAAATTAGCTGGGTGTGGTGGTGAGTGCCTGTGGTCCCTGCTACTTGGGAGGCTGAGGTGGGAGGATTGCCTGAGCCCCAGAGGCAGAGGTTGCAGTGAGCCAAGATTGCGCCACTGCACTCCAGCTTGGACGACAGAGTCAGATTCCATCTCAACCACCACAACAAAAAGGTGGTAGGAGGGAAACTTCCGAGGAGGGGCAGGATTGCTTGGGGGTGGAGACACTTCTCCAGCCATTGCTCTGGTTTTCTGAAGGGAGGCTAGCAGGGCCTGGTGCTAGTACTTGACTGCTCACTTCTGAACCAAGTACTTGGCAGGACTGAGCATTCCGCAGGGACTTTCAGGTCACCTCCTCCAGGGGTAATGGATCCGAGTTCCTTTGTGTCCTGTAACTTGAAGCTAAGAGGGACCCCTTGAGGAAGAATAAACAGAGGGGTGAAGGGGTCAGTGCAGGGAAGAGAAGGCAGTGGGGAACTGGGCAAGTAGGGAAAGGAGGGATGCTGGGCACGATGCAGTGCGATTCCTGCCAAAGAGAAAAGGTGCTTTGAATGAAGTCCAGGAAGCTTCACATCTGAGGCCCAGTGAGGAGAAGGGACTTGCCCAAGGCCAGGCCTGGAGGAGGATCTGTGTATCTGAATCTTCAGGCTGGCACCCAGATGGCTGATGCTGGTCACTGGCTTGCCAGGCTGGAAAGCAGGAGGTTGGGCTTACCTTGAGTCAGCCCTCCTCCTCCAGGAAGCAGGCAGACTTCCTCAGCTATGCCGGGTCTGTGTGCAGCTCTGATTTATTTCGAGATTTTCCTTGTCTGAATCAGAGATGGTTTTTCTTGGCAAATTGCGACTTTTTCAGAAGGCAAAAATGCAGTCTCCTCGTAGTCTGGGTCAGCGTAATCCCCTGTTTGTTTATCCAGGCTCAGTGTGTTTGAGGCTAGAGCCAGAGCCAGCCAGGGGTGAGGGTCCGACCCAGCCCAGACAGCTTTATAGCTGGATTTGCAAACTCCAGCGAGGTTCCAGCTCTGGATCTTCCTGATCCTTGGTGTGGTGTGGCTGGGTGCCTTGGGGTTTCTATGTGCACTACTTTAGAGGTGCTCATTGGGGGGGGGGTCCCTTTTCTGCTTCCCAGGACTTTATTTCAGAGTACAAGTGAAACAAGAGCCTGCTTCACATATCAATTTGGGAGGAAAGTCTAGATTAATGGAGAATTCTTTGAACTCCATTTTGCCTAATTAATGTACCCATCTGAGTAGAGTTATTAATATTATATATCTTCAAAGCCTGAATAGTTAAAGCATGCGTATATTAAATATAATGCTTCCTCTGCTTATGTATGTTCTTATTTTCTACACTTGTCATAAATTTAACAGTTGGGGTCAAGCCCCCAACTCTTAGGTGGTGTTGATGCTGGGATATTGGACAGGGAAAGATACCTTTCTGGAGAAGGAATGACCATCTGGAAGTCTCTGTACACTGGAGTGAAACTCTCTGGAGGGTCCTGATCCCTCAGGAAGGTCTCTTCCAGGAGCTGGGAGTCTCCCCGGGGTTGCAAGCTTGCAAGCTGCATAGGAAGAGACCTTCTTGAGGTGGCATCTCATGTCTTTATAGTGACTGTCCAGCATCTGCCACATCAGAGATCCCTGGAGGCTCTATGCTCGCCCATTATGGAAGGAAGAGGGAGGAGGCACCCCATTTGCTGAAGCCTTTCCCTTCCATTCCCTACTCCATCTGCCTCCCCCAAACAATTTCAGTCTGAGGGCTGTGGAAGAGTCCTAATAAACATAGCTACCATTTATTGAGTATTTACAGTGTGCCAGGCTACAAGCTTTACATGCATCATCTCACTATTCCTCATGACCAATCCATGGAATGAGCATTCTTATTTTACAGATGAAGAAGCTGAGGCTCAGAGAGGTTAAGTGACTTGCCTAAGGTCATGCGGCAAGTAAGTCATAGAGCTGGGATTTGAAATCCTGGTCTGTCTGATTCTAAACGCCATACTCTTAACTACTGTGCTACGTTGGCCACAGAGATGCCTGAGAAACCGAGTGCTTTCTAAGACATTGGGGTGTTTTAGAGACATGTCCTGGAAGCTGTGTGAGAGGGAAGCCTGGGGCTCAGGGAAGCCAGAGTATTGAATCTTGGAGGCTTCTTTGGGAATCCAAGCCCCTGGAGAAGAAGGGAGGGATATGATCTCCCGGGGGAAAAGTACAACTCAATAAAGAGCTTCTTGGTTCTGGATTAAACACAGGTGGAACTGCTTCTTACTGGTAATTGGGAGTTTGGCCAGATTGTGGGGCTTGTTTCTTGGTCGGACAGGGAAGGAGGCAGCCCCAGAGGCGTTAGGCTGACGAAGGAAAAGAGAGGCCTTCTTACTCAGAAACCTCTTCCTGGTGTCTGGGCCAAGCTAGGATCAGTCTCTTTTCTGGAGATGCAAGTAGGGTCTGGTACAGGACTTGAGAGTTCGGCCCCACATCTGTGGTGACCCTCCCCTAGGGAGGCAGAGACGTGGCTGGGGGAGCAGCCCCAACCCCTGTATCCACTTCAGAGATGGGCTGTGGAATCCACATGTGCTTCTGCTGCTTGGCTTCTGGATCATTCCTGATTCTGTTCCCACCTCTGCCCTCACCCCTTTCATCCCCAGTGACTGTACCCCTGACAGCACCCTTCCCACTCCCCTGACAGCACCCTTCTCACCCCCCTGACAGCACCCTTCCCACCTCTGCACCTCTCCAGCCAGTTACCGAGGGACCTCACTGCCCATCCCACCACACTGCCCGTCCCAGAAGGCCGTCAGCTGCCGGATCACCTCACTTGAGAGGTCTGTAGGGGCACTTGCGATGTGCCAAAAACATTGCTCAGGTTGGATGGATGTGCTCTTGGCATGAGGGTGAGCAGAAACCGAGTCCTCTTTTGTGCAACATTATGTTTAAATTGCTTGAACCAAACTGTGGCTTTGGGGCAGGGCTGTTTTTCCCCTTAGCAGCTGACTGGGTGCAGAGGAACAACACCGAGTCAGTTCCAGCCACTTTTTCTGGGTAAGTGATGGCAGCCAGGTCACTGGGCTGGGGTTTTAGGAGTAGGAGGTCTGAGGAAGGGCCCCTGGGTATGCAAGAGAAAGGGTCAGGAAATGGGAGTTCCTGGGCCTCAGGGCTTAGGCCTCAGAAAAGCTCTGTCAAGGGAGGACCTTGAGAGCCTGGCCAGCTAGTGGCTTCTGAAGCCGGCTTCCCAGGCAAGGACACTCGCACCCCAGTGCCTGATGCAGCTCTTGGCCTGGAGCTGGGAATGCAGGGGGTGACCTGATTCCATTGCATTTGCTGAAGTAGGCTGGAACCAGAGATGGCGACAGCTGCTTCCAGAATCTTCCTCTAAACCATCTCCTGTGTTGATTCTTCTTTTCCATCTCCACTGCCACAGTGTAGCCCGGGCTGCTGTCAACACCTCATGCTTGCATTTGTGCCAGTGCCTCTTAACTGTCCATTTTGCATTTATTCTCTTTCCCCTTCACTCTGTTCTGCCCTCTGTGGCCAGAACAAGCAGCTGAAAACATCAGTTTTATGGAGTGACTTTCCTACCCAAGCTTCCACGGGTTCTTTCTGGGCCACAGAACTGAGGCTCGGCTGTCTTGAGGGAGCCATCCCACCTTCACACAGACATCTGGCAGCAGCCACATGGGCGTCTCCTCTGTCTCCTGCGCACGCATGGCCGTTTTATTCAGGGTGCTCTCCTCTGCCTGACATGCCTTTCCTCGTCTCAGCCATGAGGCCAAATGTTATTTATCCTTCAAGGGGCAGCCTGAGTCCCGCTCCCTCCGGGCAGTCTTCCCAGCTGCCCCAACTCCTCCTTCTCCAAGACCTTCAGCTCCACTCGCTGTCGTCCTCTGGACAATTCCATGACAGGCGGGCAGTGTATAGCTCTTCCTTGTTTGTTGGTCTTTTCTCTTGACCCAGAGCATTGGCTTTTGGAGGAAGGAGCCAGATCATGTTCTTTGGGAGCTGACAGCAGGCGCTGGGTCAAGCCTCTAATGAGCACTTAAGAAATAATTGTTGAATTGATCAACAGGAAATAAGCTTAGATTGCAGCACAAGGGATTTAGGTTGGATTTAAGGAAGGATTTCTAGAGAGCCATTAGATGTTTAGAAAGGATGGCTGAGGGAGACTATGGCAGTACCAGGTCTTACCACAATTATGAAAAATAAGAGAAGATTCTCCTGAAAATCAGGGGATGTGGCGGTGGCAGCTGTCAAGGTTTACATGGAGAAAGGTGGGGAAGGAGAGAAAGAAATGGCCACGCTTTAGTGTCCAGTTAAAGGACTACAGACTTTTGGCTGGAATCTGCCTTTCTACTTCTGATTCTTGTCATTAGCTGAGGGCTTTCTTCACTTTTCCCTCCTGTGACGCAGCTTGAGTCAAGCTATACCTCAAGGCGTGGGATGAGAAGTGGAGCAGGTGTCGCGCAGGGAGCGGGGCACTGACCTCACCAGGGCCAAAGCCATGGAGCATCCGCCTGTTCTGGCAGTCCAAAGAGTGGCTTTGCCATCCCGTTCCTCAGAACCCGAGCTGTTCCTCAACCCTCCAACAGGTGCGTGGTGGGTTGTATGGTGAAGGCATGCTCAAGGGAACGGGAACACCCTTCTTCACCACTACCCTCTGTGTTTCGCAAAACACGAGTCCACCAGCGGGGTGCTTTGTTTTGCCTGCAGATGTGTGAAGCCACAGGCACAGCCCCTGAACAGGAACAGCTTCCTGAAGGGCTCAGGAGGGGGTCAGTGGCTTTATAGTAAACTTGCTGTTTTGCTGTAGAATGCACGACTATGTTACAGGTGATGAGCTTCCTCTGCTGCGCTGGGGCCTTCCGGGACTTTACTACCACGCCACCCTCAGCCCCACATGCCTCCTCCTGTCCCTGGGGCTGGGGGTGTGCTGAGTGAAAGGAGTGGTAGAAGTGAGGAACAAAGCCGCCACAAAGGCATCAGGAGGAATGGGGGCAGTGGGAGCTGGAGGAACCTTTCGGTGCCATTTGGGCTTCAGATGCAGCATTGTTCATACAGGTGCAGCCCTCTCCTCCGGCTCTCAAAGGCCGGATTAGGCACATTCAGTCTTTGTTCTGATATCACAGCCGGCCTCTGCTCTATTCATTCAAAGGCGGCTTTGTGGTCCTGGGGACCGACCCCTGTGCTTTGGGAGCCCCTGTGCCGGAAGATGGAGAGACACTGGCAGGGCAGTGCGGCTTTTTCCTGGTGACCACTTACAGGAGCTGTGATGGAGTGGGCGGGGGGTGCAGAGCAAAGGCAGCTCTGGCAGGGCTGGAAGTATTTTGGGGACGCTGGCAGCAGTTCTTCTGTCACCTTCTGTAAGCCGATGAGACATTCTGAGCAATTCTGACGGAAGCTGTGCAAGACTACACCAACCTAGGGCAGTAGTTTTAAAATTTCTTGAAGACATGGAACTCTTCTTACACCAAATCAGACTGCATCCTCAGAGGCCAGACCACTGAGAGAGTTTTAATGATGAGTATACTTAGGGTGACATACATTATGGGGTGCAGAGCAAAAGTTTAAACGGATCGATTCTCTGATCCGTTTCACCCATAGCAAGCGCAGGTGAAAAAGGGTAAAGTTTTCTTACAAAATACATCTTTACGATATAGTTTTTATCTTACTCTTTTACTTCAACCCAGTGGCCCTTCTGGGAAAGGTCTAAACAAAAAGTAGATGTTTAGTGTACTAGTATTTTATTTATTTTCAGAAACAGGATGGCAGTTGTAGGCTTGTAATAACATCGTTCTCCCATTTAAAATGTTCATTATTTTTAAAAATTCATTATGGCTGTTTCTGAAAAATGAAAGACTTTTTTTTTCACTACGGTTAGTTAACACATGTACTGTTTCTGAATTTAAAACTCGAAATATCTTCCACCTCTTTTTGTCATGGTTCTTTATACAGCTGTGTGTTAAAAATCACTGTAATACAAAATTAGAAAGAAATGAGCTCACACAAATGTAAAAGACATTTTTTTGTTTTTGTTTTTTTTAGACAGATTCCTTCTCTGTTGCCCAGGCTGGGGTACAATGGTGTGATCTCGGCTCACTGCAACCTGCGCCTCCTGGGTTCAAGCGATTCTCATGTCTCAGCTGGGACTACAGGTGCACACCACCACGCCTGGCTTATTTTTGTATTTTTAGTAGAGACAGGGTGTCCCCATGTTGGCCAGGTTGGTCTTGAACTCCTGACCTCAAGTGATCTGCCTGTCTCAGCCTCCCATAGTGCTGGAATTACAGGCATGAGCCATCGCGCCTGGCCAGAAAATTGGCTATTTCACAAAATATACGAACTTTGACTTTGTTTGCAAACCAATATCTAGAATCCTTGCTAACTTCAGTGAAAGTATGTTGAAACCATGGGATGCAGTTTAAAAAACTGATTTAGTCAATAATAGAAGTATTAATGTAGTAACATCTAAGATTTTTCAAACAGTTTTTATGTGCCAACCCACTCCTTTATTCTCAGAACATCTTCGATACTGTAACTGCCATATTTCCCTGCCTTAACAGATGAGGAAACTGAGGCTCATAGAGGTATGTATCTTGATCAAGGTCCAAGGACCAAGGACTGGATCCCAGGTGTGTCTCACTGAAAGTCCATGTTTTTACCGCCTGCCTTGCATTTTCTGCCCAGTACAGAGGACCTTCCCAAGCAGCACCCCTTTCTTTGCTGTGTCCCGTTGAAGGCTCACATCTCGTTTCTGTTAGAAGCATCACACCTGATTGACGACTGGGGTATTGTCATTGGCCCAGGGCTTTGACACTGAGTTAGTCTGGCATCCATCTCCATCCACCGAGGCATACATGAGGACAGCCCCTTCCCCCACATCAGAAATAGAATGGCATTGATTCTGAATTTTGTCCCTCATATTTTCGTCCTGCTATGTTAGAGAGCAGCTCCCCAGGAGAGAGACAGAGCAATCTCCAATCTAGCCAGATGGGGCAGGAAGGATGGGGTGGGACTGAACCACAGGGGAGAAGTGTTGGGTCCTAGAAAAATTGCTGCTGAGGTCCAGGTGTTATGGCCTTTGAAGGACTCAGCATCTTTGTTTAGTCCTACTCCTCTCCTTTTTAAGGGAATAGATGGGAGGAGGTAAGAATGTGGTGGTAGGATCTTAGAAACCTACATCTTCTTTACTAAATTATGCAAAAACATCATTTGCTGAGCCTTTACGTAGTCCAAGGCTGGATTGAGGGTTTAGCTCCTTTGGATCTTCACACAGTTCCTTGGTCCTTGTTGGCTGACATATAATGGAGCCATAGGTCTGGGTTTGAATTCTGATTATATGGCCTTGATCAATTGCTCAACTTTTCTGAGTCTCAGTTTTTCCATCTGCAAAGTGGGATGCAGAAGATTACCTCTTGGGTGGTTGTCAGGATCAATTAAAATAATTTATTTAAAATTCTTAGCCCTGCCCCTGGCACATAGAAGGCATACAATAAATGAGAATCCCCTGGAAACTTATTTCTATTCTACTATGACTTCTTCCTCTCTAATTCCCTCTTAGAATGCTGTAAAATTTCAGCAGTGCAATTGGGTGCTTTATAGTCTAGGTTTTAGATAAATGTAGTCTTCTTTCTTGGAACTTCTGTACTAAAATATAATTTTTAAGGCAGTTTTCTGGTGGAGACAGGGACCCCAAATAGATTTAGATCTGGCATGGGGAATCTGTTTAAGGTAAAGCAACCTCTATTTTAAGTGTCTCCTTCAGAGATGCTTTTAAATGCACCAAAAGTTGGGGAGATATACCTTATCGAGGTAAAAAGGAGAAAATTGAAAATTGTCTTTTTCTGCTTTCCCTAGAAGAAATAGTTTCTTATACAAGACCAAACACTCCAGCACAAGTCATCCTTAGCCCTATCTTTTTGGAGGCCGATCAGAAGGCAGTCAGCCCTGTATTTTAACCTAGCCTAAGTACTCTGATTAGCTTGAGCAACTTCAGAAGTTGGCCTGTGGCCTCCCGAGCCCCTCTTCCAGCTAGTTTGCTGGGGTCTCTTTAGAGTTGATGTGTTTTTCTGGATCAGGTCAGGAACGGAATTGCCTTTTAAAGAGACACCTGTGTTGTGACCCAGACCAAGAAGAACCTCCTCCAAGGAGCTTGCTACATGTGGGTGGCAGCACGGGGGTGGTTGTGCTTTGGTGTATCCCCACTCTGAAGTCTGTGCCTGGGACCTGACTCCGCAGCTCAAGGGTACTAAGGCCCTAGAAGGATGTGAAATAGGAACAGTGAGGATTGCGTCCACAGGACCATGAGGGGCAGGAACTATGGCAGTGTGCCCCTCCCTGCAGATCCTGTGCCTAGCACAGTGGCTGACCTTAGAAGGGGGTTAGTAAATTTTATGGAATGAATGAATGTGGCAAGTTGTGGAGCTAGTGTATGAAACTACCTTCAGGTTTTGAATTGTTTTGCAAGGAAACGAATGCCAGGGGAGTTTTGTCCTAAGGGCATCTTTCAGCAATGATGGGAGAGCCAATGTCCCTCCACATCCCTCCCCTACCTGAAGCTAGAGCTGCATGTCTTGCAAGGTCTTATTTTTGGCCCTGTGATTTTCATTTCTCCCCCATTCTCCCAGTTGACGACATATCACCACCGTTTGTCACCTTCTAGTCTAAGGGCCCATACAGGTTACATGTGTGCCCTAGAGAGGCTGCTGAGTGCCGCTGGCAGCCCCTATCACAGCACCACTTTGGCTTGGGACATTAGAGTTCATCCCAACTGGTGAGATTCAGAGCTGCATCATAGGGAAGGCTGAAGACTGCCTGTCTGTGTCATCTGAGCTGAAGAGGGAGACTACGTGGTGAGGATGCAGTTGCCTGGGTAGACGCTGCCCGAGAGGGCATCTGGGCCTGTAATGCTAATGACACTGTTGAGAAAGGACACTGAGTTGTTCTGTGCTGAACTGAGAACCGTAGGTGTGACACAGAGGAACAAGTAACCCCATCCGACTTCCAGAGATCAAGAAGCCGAGAAGGCATCCTTCCTCCTTCCCCTCCCACTGCGAGTCTGGGCAAGCTTCGCTCAGTCCCTGGCCTTGTGTGGGCCATTGCCGGCCAGCGTTGGATGCTTTTGAGGTGACAGCAGAATTTGGTGTAGAACTTTGGGTGCAACTTGGCTAAAGGCAGGTCTGGGTCAATCTGTTTGGATTCTGTGTGTGCCTCACTCTCATCCCTTTAAAACAGGTGTTTTTTAGGAAACTTAGAACTAAAGAAAAGTGCCAAGAAAAAAGCCAAACCCATCTATAACCCATCTGTGTTCCTACCATTCAGAGACAGTCACTATTAACATTTTGGTATATTTCCTATCTTTTGTCTTTCTCTTTTTCTGTCTGGAGTGGGAGGAAGATTACTTACATATATACACACATAAGTATGTATTATATGTATGTATATTTATATACATGTTTGATATTCTGCTTTGGTTTTAGTTAATTTTATATTGTGAGCATTTCCCCGGTCAATAAAAAGTCTTGAGAACTGCATTGAAGGCTGGGTGAAAAGTCTTTAGTACCGAGTCTTTTGGGTGTTATCCTTCGCATCAGAAAAGCCTGTGGAGTTCCCGTTCTTTGAGAGTGTGCAGGCTTTGCTTGGTGTGCCCTGCATTCTCTCTGGGAGTAGATCCACCCACCCCTTGCTATCTTGTTTCTACAGGACTGCTTAACAGATGGGATCTGCTAAGTGCAAAAGCAAGGGTCTCTCAATCAGTTTGCCTAATCCCATGTTTGAGGGAAATCTGACCTTAAGGGTTATAAATGTCTGGACTAATAGAAAAAGATCCTCGTAGTCAAATACAGGTTTTTATCCTTAAAAGAAAGATCTTTGCTCTGCCCTGGAACTGAAAGGGTTAGTACATGGAAGAACCATTCTTTCTCTCCCTCAGGAGTGGGTTTGCTTTGGTTTTCCACTGATCTCCCGTTCCTGCCTGTAGAATTTGACATGGTTTTATTTACTTTTCCTTGGCCCAGTTTGGGTCAACAGGATTTCTCTCCTGCTCAGAACAGCCTCACAGTTGTGCGAAGTCAGACGTGAGCCTGGGGCCTGGGCAGCGGTCATCAATCCTTGTCTGAGCGACGCAGTGGGGATTTTCAGCTTGAGATGGTCTGACAGCACCAGCGCCACCGCCAGTCCCACACGGGCCAAGCTATTTCTTCTCCCCTTTTGCCTGTGACTTCGAAAGCATTTTGTGTGTGTGTTTGAGGGTATGCACACATGCATGCTCACATGTGTGCATGTATGTGCTTTTGTGTTTGGTGATCTGAAGCCAGGCATCAATCAGTACAGCAGGATCTCAAATGACAGTGGAAATAGCAATGAAAGGAAGCACACGAGTTAAACACACACAGCCCCAACAGAATTCGATGATATAGCAAGACTGGGATTTCCTCTTCTGTTTGTTTTAGCCTGCACTTGCTCAGCTTCATTCCCAGGGCTTAGTGCTGTAAGGGAGTGGATTTCCTCAAGTGCTGTGGATAAAGCATTTCTTCCTCTGTTATCTCCCTTGTCAGTGTAAATCTCTCCACTGTGTAAGTGGAAATGAAGATGAGCCTGTGTGTATGCCATAGGATTTCACCCAAATTAAACAGGCACTTAAATGACATTTTCCTTCATGATAATCCTATGACACTGAAATATACCAGTTCTCCATTTTGTTATTACAGAGCCATGACATACTCTCCAGGGGCTGGGAGAGTATAGTACTCTGCCTCTTCTTCCTGCTATGTTTAGAATTTGTGTGGCAGTCTTTTATCGTGGGTGGGCTATGTTGAGGCTGTTTTGGGCCCTTTTGTATTGATAAGGGGAACAGTCGGTGGTAAAAGCACAATATGCGAGTGGATAAATATTTTCTAAGGTTAGAAAACGAATAGCAGCAACACCAAGAATCCCGTGTAGTGGCGTCGTGAGGGCTAACGGCAGCTCTGCAGCAGGATGAGAAAGGAGACCCAGCAAGAGGAGAGTCTGTCTTGCAGGTTCAGTGGCTCAGGCCTGGAGAGTGGCTTTTGGGCTTCTTACCCCTTAAGATGTTGTTGGGCTGCTGCTGTATTGGGGATGGAGCAGGAAGCACACTGGGTGGGGCTCACCTGGCCCATTTGGCTCATTGAAGGAGGGACAAGCAGTGTCCATGACTTCTGTCGGTGGCGTGAGGGTCTCTTATAGGACACTGATAAGGTCTCCATTCACCTCCTTTGGGGAACATACTGTGATATCGGAGGTCTTATGTCTGGTGATGCAGAGCAGATCCAGAGGGGAGGAAAACAAAGACTTCCAGTGCTATTGTTTTTGCAAGTAACTTAGCTGGCAGCTTTCTTCTTCCACATTCTTGGTCCTAGACTCTTGAACAAGAGCCAGTGATTGTGCCCTCCAAACGATGACTTCCTAAGGGCTCTTCTCAGTGTGAGGGTGTGTGCACGCATGTCGCTGTGTTCATCTGATGGAAGCACACATGCCTCAGCTCATGAACAGGTTCAGCTGATCAGCCCTTTTATTTAAAGCACTATCCAACTCCCACCCCTTTCAAACTCTCCGTCGGACTCTGGGCCAGGTTAGCTTCATTTCAGCCACATTGTGAGTTACTGAGTGTATTAGTCTGTTCTCACGCTGCTAATAAAGACATACCCAAGACTGGGTCATTTATAAAGGAAAGAGGTTTAATAGACTCACATTCAGCAGGGCTGGGGAAGCCTCATAATCATGGTGGAAGGCAAAGGAAGAACAAAGGCATATCTTACATGGCAGCAGGCAAGAGAGCGTGTGCAGGGAACTGCCCTTTATAAAACCATCATATCTTGTGAGATTTATTCACTATCATGAGAACAGCATGGGAAAAAACCACCCCCATGATTCAATTACTTCCCATCGGGTCCCTCCTACCACATGTGGGGATTATGGGAGCTACAAGTCAAGATGAGATTTGGGTGGGGAAATAGCCAAACCATGTCACTAAGACATTTTGTCTCACAGCCAGTTCCAGTGTCATCTTTATGGAAAACCAATCTCTGGATCTTACTGGCTTTTGCAAGTTCTCTCTAAGTTTGGGGCTGCCTGTTGGAATCCCACAGTCTGCTAAAGGGACCCAGTCTCCCCTTAGCTTCTATTCTGATAACTTTTTGATAACTGGTATTTCCATTTCTCTTCTGTCTGTGATTATACAATAGTGCCACATTCACATTTACTCCTAAATTACAATGACTCTAAGACCCTCATCTGCTCAAACAGTAACTCCCCTTAGTCCCCACTTTGGTGTGCCTTGGATACTTGCACAAATAAGTTATAATTTCCTCTTTGCCCAAAGGATGCTTAGTGCTGGCTGTGCCCATGGTGAAAGCCAGGTCCAGGTGAGTGGGACTATCTCCCACTGCTGCCAAAGCTGTCGATTCAGGTGCCAGAGCAGGGATGGGCTTCATGCAGAGGTGGGAAGAAGGACCCACCTCATTTCTGTTTCTCTTTGCCATCTAGCTCTGTGAGTGCCCAGAATCTCTCAAGGGGAACTTGAATCTTTTGGATGCCACTTTCAGCTTCTGCATCTCCCACTTTGTCCAGAATCTCTACAAGTCTCTTGCGAAAACAATTCTGTCTGTTTTGGGATCTTGTCTTTCCAACCAGAGGGGTTCAGTCACTGCCCAGCACCCAGTTGTATTGAGACCAACCCCAGCCATCTTCCCCACTCCCCACTGAACTTCTCCCTCAGTCCCCTAGTGGTAAAACACATCTCACATATCACTGGGTGCAAAGAGCTACCAGTGATGATGAGCTGAGGATGGTGGCCCAGGGTCCGGTGGCACAGGAGTATCCAGCGCTCACTGCCACAAGCCAGCAGGCTCAGTGCCATGCTAGATATTTGTGTTCTTAGTAATGCTCAATGAAAACTTAGAGCATATTGCTGGTCAGATCTCATAGGAGTGTTCAGGATAACTTTATAAGGAGTTACTACCCTTGGCTGAATAAATTGCTCCTGCCAGGTGGAGCGATGGTGCTAATTTAACAAACCCTTCCTATCAGATGTGTGTGTCATTGGGAGGAAGGGCAGGACGCTTAGAACCAAACAGGCATGAAGAAACTCCTTCTTTGTCCTCTTTGCCTTTGCACCCCCACAAGTCTAAGTCCTCTCTTATAATCCATGATCTCTTGGATGCACCCCAAGTGTAAGACCATTTTGTGGCTCCTTGTTAATACCATCAGCTTAATCTCTATTTTTTTTCCCTCAATGCTAGTGGGCTGAGAGGATTAAAAATATCTGGATCCCTGGGTCCTGGAGAGCTCTCTGTTTATTTGATTTGTAGTGAGAGGAGTTTTTGTGCTGGTGGCAGACTTTGAGGGATGAGGAGAGGGAATGGGCATGTGACTTTCTCCAGCCTCTGCTTCCCTAGTATTTAGTGACAGGGCAGGGGTGTGTGTGCACAAGCAGAAAATAAAAATAAATGCCTTCCGTCTCTGAGTAAAAGGTTTGATGCCCTGTCGGTGATCAAGGAGGACTAAAACCTAAAGGGCATTTAAGTTGTAGGACTCCACTCATGCAAAGAAGTATTTTGATCTCCACTTGTCCTCCTTTCTCCTTCTTTCTCACGAGGATGCATGCTTCTGGCATCCCGCCCTGCCCTACCTAGCCTCGTGGAAGTCCTGTAGGGCAGCGACAAAGCCCACTGATATTCTCCATGGGCAGCAACCCTGTTCCATAAGACAGTGATAGGATTTGGTTCTTGGTGCTTTTATTTCATCCAGTTGGTCCAGATTCCACCTGGCGCATTTGCTTTTCAGCCTGGGGTAACCACCTCTCAGGAGGAGGCAGCGTGCATGTAGATGCCTAGTGTAGCACTCAGAAACTCATTGCCTTTGACTAGGCTGTAGTTCTTGGGGGCTGCTGATGGGTTTGCTAAGCTCATCATCTACAGTGTGGCCACACTTATTACCCAGGACACCCAGCCCCTTCGTTGGCCCAAATGTGCCCCTTCTTTTCCATCCCCACTGCTGCCTTATTCAAGCTTAGTAACCTCCTAAGTGTCTTCTCTGTTGTCTCTCATACCCTTGCCAAAGATTTCCAAAGCTCGGATCTGAGTTTGTGTTTTACTTCCTTCATTGGCTTTCAGTTTTTTAACAAAACAAAACACCAAAGACAGCTGGGAATTTTTAGGATCCTCTATGATCTCTCCCCAACCTGGCCCTAGGGGCTGATTTCTTCTATGAAGGGTCATTTCTAAACTCTATCTTGAAATTACTTTGCTTGTGTACTTAGGTGTACCTGTTGTGATTCTCTTAGCTTGTCCTTTCAACATCCCTTCCTACTTGTGAAAATCTTTTAAGACCCAGTTTATGGCTCCTTCCCTGAGAAATTCTCCTGGATCCTTTCAGTCTGAATTTACCTCTCCTTCTAGCCCTACAGAACACAGTGTCAGCTGCTCTGTCCAGCACTCAGCAGAGCCCTGAAGCATAATAGGTGCTCAGTGAGTCTTTGCCAAATGGATGGTTCTTTTTCCTTCCTCCCTGCCTCTCCTATCCTCTCTTTTCCTTTCTACGAGTTTGCTGTGACCATCTCACATCTTGGATTGTCTGGCATCCCATTTTCCCATATCCTATCTGTTTGTTTGTGACTTAGGCTTTGCTTCCTGGTTTCAAAAATGCAGCCCCAGTGGAGATATGTCCACATGTCAGTCTTTGCAACTAGATCAGCTTGTAGGGGCAGGGCCTGTGTTCTTGTTTATTTTCATAATCCTCAATGTACCTAGCATGGTGGCTTGTATTAAAGGGGGTGGGCAGAGAAATCGCCAGAAACTTCTCTGAGTGCCTATGGGGGTGTCTGATGTGCCCTTCAAAGCAAACATTCTTTGGAATTTTTTCTTTAGTTTTGTGTTTATTGTTTTTATCTTGTTTGTTTGCTGAGTTGTAATTTGCGTGGAGTACAATTGACCCCTTTTAGGTGTACACTTTTATGAATTTTAACAAATTTATATAGTTGTGTAACCACTACCATAATCAAGATCTAGAATATTTCCATCGCCCACAAACATGTTCTCCTGCTTCTCTCCTTATCTCCAGTCCCTGGTAATCATTAATCCAATTTCTGTCACTTTGGTTTGGCCTTTTCCAGGATGTCACATAATGGAATTATATAGTATATAACTTTTTGAGTCTGGCTTCTTTCATTTGGAATAATGCTTTATTTTTATTTTTTTGGAAATTTGATGACTTGGGCCTTAACCCTCACTTTATGTGCACCTGCTTTTCTGAAAGATTGAGAAGGAGCATGGGTTTGGGGCTGCAGACAGACTCTGTGTGGATTGGGAGCATGTAGGTTAACTTGGCCCCGTTTGCGTTCTTATTAGGGTCTCTTTAGATCCAGGGTCTCAGCTGCTTTGTCAAACCCATGGGTTCTCCTCTCTCCTGCCTTCCTACACAGTGGCACCTGGTGTAAGAGAGCCTTCTCCCCTGGGCCCTGGCCCATCATCCCTGTGGCTGCTGGTGGTGGGGGGCACAGTGGAGGAGGGAAGTCGGGTGGGTGGGGTGAAGTGACTGCTAAATTCCTCCCTTGGGGAGGGGGTGGTGGTGGGGTGATGAAGGTCAGGCCTCTCCTGGCTAAAACAACAGAAGTGGCTCCAGCTGCCCAACAGCTGGAGGGGGTGTCTGCTTTCCCTCAGCAGCGTGAAAAGCCCTTTAATCGGGCATGCTGCTGTCAGGCTCTGTCGCAGAGGTGTGTGGAGGAAGAGCAGATGCTGCTGTTGCTGGCAGGCCTCTCTTTCCCTTTGACCTCCCTTATCTTCCCTCTTCCATCTTCACGGAGCCCCCCTCTGAAGCCAGCAGGTCGAGGCCCTTCTTTGCACCTGTGTAAATTCAGTGGTCATGGGGTCAGGGAAGGGTGAGAGCGAGCTGGCAGATATAGGGATGTGGATTTTTAATGCAGATGACGAATTTGATAGTGGGTGGGTGAGTGATGTTTTAATGGGAAACTACTCTCCATTCCCAAGGATGCAGGCCCCAGAGAAGAAGGCCAAAGTCCAGTTTTGCAGATGGTGAAGGACGTGGTGAGAGGCGAACAGTCCCAGGTTGGAGAGCAAGCGGCTGAGCCGCAGCTAGACGTCTGGAATGTGATTCTCTGCTTTTTGTTCCAGGCATTGGCTCCAAGAGTGGCTTTCCCCCCCCTTTCAATAGCAGGTTTACCTCCCAGAAATGCTTTTTAGTACTTGAGTTCTAAAAACTTGAGCTGGACCATGATTTACAAACAAGACAGAAAAACATCCCCTCTCTTGGGAGAGCTCTTTTTGCTTCTGGTGCCCTTCTCCTCTTCTGTTCTCCTGGGGGCAACTACTATAGACCCAAACCACTGTTGCCAGAGCTGACAGCAAAGCCCTTTCTGCCCCTCAGTGGCATCTGGGGCATAGTGTCTGATATCCCTACATTGAGGAAGGCAGTGTGGTGTGGAAGAAAGAATCTGGTCTGTGAGGATCAGACTGAGAGGAGTGCTCTACCACTTACTGACTTAACCTTGCCCAGCCTCGGTTTTCTCCTCATTCATTCAAGCCATACATATTGATTAAATGCCTCATCTGGGCACTGGGGATGCAGCAGTGTCACACCCAGATCTTGGTTTCTGCCCTCAGGGAGCTTACAGTCCGGTGGAGGGGCATGGACAAGCAATGTAAAATTAAATGATGGGCCATTTTAATCACAATTATGGCACAGGCCACAGTGGACCATAGTGGGTGTTCTGGGGGCTCATTACAGGGATCCCGACCTGTTTTGGAAGGCAGCAGCATTTACCCCGGAATTGGAGTTCATCAGGTGGAAGCACATTCCAGGGAAAGGGGCCGGCGTGTGCACAGTCCAGAGGTAGGAAGGAGCTGCAGAGCTGGGCTGTGGTTTCTGCCCTGCCTGTTACCACCCAGCAGGCATACATGTATGGATTGTTCTCCTTCCCTTTCCTTCCAAATAGGCATTTGCAGATTGGACATTTGCAGGTGGAGAAAACTCACCATTATTTACGATGTTGAGGCTATAGAAAAATGAATTTAGGGTGTCAAAAAATTGACTTATAACTGATTTTTTTTTCCATCTGGCTATTGTTCTTACTCAAGTGCATGCGTATGGTAGCTGCCCGAAAAACTAGAGTGCTAATCACATTGGCCGTTAAATTGTCAGAGTTTTCCACCTTGACATATATTAATTTCAGGCTCATCAATCTAGAGTCTCAGATACTGCCCGAGTTATGGGTGAGATGACATCTCTGGGATGGTGGAAAGGCTTCCTGGAGGCTAAGGCCAGGTTCATTGGGAATGAATTCCATGATGATTTAGTGATATATGGGTACTATCTCAGCCATACTGGTATATCCTCTTAGAGATTTTTTTCATTTCCATTATTCCAAGGAAAAAATACCATGTTTAAGATGTGACTTTTATTATCTAAGAGATAGATGTTCCTTTAAAGAAAAGAAAGGAACAAATACCTTTAATCACTATACATTTGAGAGCTTTAAGGTATTGTTGGTAGTTGGACAAAGAATATTTCTTTTCACAGTAAGTGACAGAAAAAAGAGCTACTTCTTCATGATATATTTTAGGTAAGGTTTGATATTCATTCATTCATTCCTCAAACATATACTGAACAAACTTTTTTGGTAAGGTGCTGTGTTACGCCCTATGTATATAAAGAGGAATAAGACACAATCTTTTATAGACGTGTAAATAGATAAATGATAATGCAGTATATCGAGGGTTTTGATAGAAGTATAAACACAGTGCAGCAGGAGTGCCAAGGAAGCTAATGGTGGTGTTTAAAATATGAAAGTATTTGCTTTTTAGGATGATAACCTCAGTGGCAATGTGGAATTTGAACTTGGATTAGGGGTAGGGATGGGGGCAGAAGTTTGGTGCCAAAGAATCAAACGCCCAGGCAAGAGATAAAGGACTAAATGAAGTCATCATGGATAAGACAGGAAAGCCTGTTGGAGACAGAGCCCCAGCCAAGCTCCCAACTGAGTGAAGTCAAATCTGTTACCTCAGGTGGTACCATGTGGAGCAGAAGAACCTCCTAGCTGAGCCCAGCCAACCCACATAATTATGAAAAATGATAAATTGTGGTTTGAAGCTGCTAAGTTTAGGGGTGATTTGTTTTGCTCCAATAGATAAGTGAAGCAAAAAGGTTGAAAGTGAGTACTTGAAGCTGTGTTACATATGAATTTATTAAAGAAAAACCTAAAATTAATTTGAGTTTGGCCTGTGATTTTTGAGTATGGTATCACAGAGAGAAATGTCACTTGCTGCTCCAAATTGTGGACTTCACTCTCCCAAATCCAGTGGATAGACCACTGACATGGTTGTTTAGCATGGCTATCGTCTCCTTCTCTACACCCAGGAAAAATATACGAGTATGCATATTACCAGAAAAATACCTGTTTAGATTTTAGATATTGGTTAAGTCAGCATTATACTAACAGGTGGAAGTTAAGAGGGTGAGAACAGGTCTATATTATAAAGAATTAAACATCTCCTCCCAGATGGAACCTTAGGCTGGCTCTTTTATTCCCTATATTGTCATGGAAACTTGGCAGTCAGTCAAAACTAACACAGCTTGTGGTATTGGGATGGTCTCCCTGAGCAAAAGCTGTGTGGCAGGGCTTCCATTCTACTATGCTGGAGACTGAAGGGGAAGAATCAGCATGTGTGCATTTCAGATGGAGGGGATGACTAGTCTAAAATTGATTTCATCTACCCTGATCTCCTCCATGGCAAAGGCAGCCCCCAGTCAGTAGCTTACTTTTCCAATAGGAAAAATGACTTGTTTATGTATATATCAAGTATCCATCCTACTTTACAAATGTGAACAAAACACAGAGTGTTTGGAGTCATCCACTCTGCAAGGAGAATGGGTAGGAGAGACGACTGCAGATATACAATTATCCCAGCTCCTTTTGTTTGGTTTCTGTATTATGCAATCATATTTAACATTATTATTTTATTTTTAATGTCTTTTGGTTAGGAAGAAGGAAAGGAATATAAGTGAAGATTTCTGTAAAACTGCTATTTCCCTCTAGGAGGAAATGTCTCAGTGTTTGGCTTGTTGGAGAGATGGCTTGCTCCTGCCCAATCCCCCAAATTTCCACCAACCGTGATTGCTCCTGAGCGACTCCAAACTCCTGGAATATCCTGGTTTTGACCCATAAATAGTGAACTGATTTTCTATCTGACATAGTTTGGAAATTTGTCCCCACCCAAATCTCATGTTGAAATGTAATCCCCAATGTTGGAGGTGGGCCCTGGTGGGAGGTGCTTTGGTCCTTGGGGTGCATCCCTCATGGCTTGGTGCTGTCCTTGCAATAGTGAGTACTTGTGATATCTGGTTAAGTGTTTGATCCACCCCCCATCCCTCTTGCTTCTGCTTTTGCCATGTGACATGCAAGCTCCTGCTTCACCTTCTGCCCTGAGTAAAAGCTCCCTGAGGCCTCCCCAGAAGCAGAGCAAATGCCAGTGTTATGCTTCCTGTACAGCCTACAGAACCATGAGCAATTAAATCTCTTTTCTTTATAAATTACCCAGTCTCAGGCCGGCCTTCCTTCCTTCCTTCCTTCCTTCCTTCCTTCCTTCCTTCCCTCCCTCCCTTCCTTCTTCCTTCACTCCCTCTTTCTTTTCTTTTCTTTGCTCCTTTCTTTCCTTTCATTCTTATTCTGTCACCCAGGCTGGAGTACAGTGGTACCATCATGGCTCACTGCAGCCTTCACCTCTTAGCTCAAGTGATCCTCTCATCTCAGCCTCCCAAGTAACTAGGGCCATGGGCATGCATTACTATGCCTGGCTAATTTTAAAATTTTTTGTAGAGACAGTGTCTCTCTCTGTTGCCCAGGCTGGTCTTGAACTCCTGGGCTCAAGCAATCCCACCTTCTTGACCTCCCAAAGTGCTGGGATTACAGGTGTGAACCCCCATGCCTGGCCTCAGGTATTTCTTCATAGCAATGCAAGAATGGCCTAACATACTGTCTAATTTCAAAATGCAGAAATTATTCTCCAGATCAGCTTCTTTTTTCTTTTTCTTTTTTCTCTTTTTTGTTTTTCTCTCAATCAGTCTTCACCTGGCTCAACTGAGAAAAATTCGATTGAAGACTACGCTCCCTCCTCTCTCTTCTCCTCTTGGTTTTTTTACTTTATAACTGGGCTGTTGCATACGGTAGCCTCTAGCCACATGTGGTCGTTTAAACTTAAATTAACTAAAATTAAACGTAACTAAATATTTGATTTCCCAGTTGCACTAGCTACATTGCAGTGCTTAATAGCCACATGTAGTTTGTGGCTGCTGTACTGGACAGCACAGATATAGAACATGTCCATCATGGTGAGAAGTTCTTTTGAACTGTGTGGCTTCGGAGCGTTCCAGAGTCTCTAGGATTAAGTCTTCCTCTTATTGCCTTTATCTTAATAGCTCCATGGTGTCCTGTTAACATGCTCCTTGTCTCCACCCTAAATGGTAATCTCACTGAGGGTGGGTACCATGTTGGTTACATGTTGCTTCCTATGCTGGTACGGTGTTGGGTTCACTGTTGGTGATCACTTATTGAGTACAGAGCAGTTGAACAGATGAAGGAATGAACTGGAGGGTTTGTGGACACAGAGTAATCCCTTTGGGGCCCTGGAGCTTTGGGTGATCTTATTAGGGCATAGTCATCTGGTTAAAGCTTCATTTTATAGAGCTCACTTTTTGTGTGTGTGAAAACAATCACAAATACACACAGTTCCTAAAACAGATGAAAATGTGACACCATAATTGATTGAAGATTGTCAATGACCCCATGCTATCTCTGAACTTTTTATTTGGCCTTAGGGACCAGTAATTTCTAGACAGGAATATTTTGGGTGCTCTTCTGAAGCTGAGAATGATCTCTGTGTGTTGGGATGGGTGGGGCCTCTGAAGTTCTTTAACCTGTCTGTTTGCAGACAGAGTGTTCCCCTTGTTAGGAAGCTGGTCTCTGGCACAGCTGCTGTGGCCTCTCTCTCAGTGTAGAGCAATCCATTTTCAAACCGATTTTTTGGCCTGTAGTTCAACTTCACGGGGATGCTGGCAGCTCTCCTGTCCTGTGAGCTGCAGCATAGGCAACTAGGCAACCTCAGTGGGTTTGAAAAGAAACTTTGTCTTCCTCTCCCTCTTTTTTCTGTGTGTTCTCTTAAACCACGCCCCCCTTCAATTAAATTCCAAAGAAAGAAGATGAACAAGAACTTATACGTGACTTAGGATATGTTAATAATTGAATCTTCACACCACCCTATGAGGCAAGGCTTGTTACTACTCTCATTTTACGGATGAGAAAACTAAAAGCCCAGAGAAGCTAGGCAACGTTTCCAAGGTTAAACAGCATGTGGGTGCTGTTGCTGGTACTGACACCCATGGCTGGGCTCCAGAGCCAAGCTTCTAATCACTAGGTCCCACTGCCTTTCATTATAACAAACAGAAACACCGGCCCACCTGCAAAAAGGACTTCACAAAGTCAAAAACTGTTGACCAAGCACCTACTCTGTGTGCCAGACACCAGATGCTGAACATCCAGGTGAGACAGCCCTGCCCTCCAGGGAGGTCAGGCCCAGCTCAAGACACTCCTGATGAGAGTTCTTGTTCTGAGGTGGAGTAAAGATGGCAGGCTCTGGGCCACCTCTGCCCACGTGCAATGCAGAAGTGGGATGGGAGAACATGGCTGAGGACGGCAAGGCTGTAAGCACAGGGGCATGAGGAGTGGCCCCAGCGATCCCTGGGGGTGGCAGGAGCCCGGAAAGCCAGGCCTGTGATGTCCCACTGGCAGGTGTTGAGGGAATGGCAGGCATGAGATGCTGCTACAGGGCTGCACTCCTCCCACACATGACGGAGGGCCCCAGGATTGTGCTAGATGCTCGGGGGAGGTGTTCACAGGCAAAGCAGACATCGTTCTCATCTTCATGGAGCTCAGAGCTGGGGATTCCACTGGTAACCAAATCATGCAAATGAATTCTTCATTACAAACTGTGTGAAGAGCCATGAAGGAAAAATGAAGTGTGAGAGAGTATTACAGGAGATTGTCCTCACCTGGGAGAGTCAGGGAGAACCTCCTGGAAGAGACCGCCTGAGCCAAAATCCGAAGCAGGGTGGGAGGGAATGGAGAAGGAACAGCGTGCCTGAAGGCCTGGAAGTAGCAGCAGAGGTAGCTCATTTGATAAATGGGAAGCAGGCCCGTGTGCCCCACCAGCAGGGAGCAAGGGGGAGCAGGGAAGAGAGAGCAAAGGGCCAGAGAGGGGCCCCCGGGTCTGATTCTCACCAGGCCGGGGAGACGATGTAAGGGTCCCCGAGCTCATGGGTTTAAAGCAGGGGCAACTCGAGGGGGGTTGAGGCTGGGGATCGTGTGCAGGGCTTGACTGAACAATGCTGTCCTCTCCCATTTCTCCCCGTCAGCTCACCCCTCTTCTGTGGGGCAGCCCTGGAGGCAGTGGGCTTCTCTGGAGATGATGATCTGAGTTATTTATTTTTGCCCCTGAGCACTGGACTCTATCAAATGCTGTGCTCATGAGACACTATCTGGATATTTCCCTTTGGGCCCTGGGCAAGATTCAGGTGTGACCTGTGAGTGCGTGGGAGCCCAAGGTGTCTGAAGAGAAAGCGCAATTTCACTGTCCATTTGGACAAGGCCTGTGCAGTGGTTTCAGCCCTCAGCTGCTCCATCCCTGTGCTGGGCAGCCAGCACCCAGGCATGAGGTCCAGTCCCAAGGAGGGACTGGTTTTATAGCTGGGATGTGGTCTGTGTATTTATGGACAGGTTCGGGCCCTCTTTGAGTTTGGCCAGTGTGGGGTGTGTATTTCCAGTACTCCCTTGAAGGGTGTGGTACTACCTCTGAAACTTTCTCTGCTGTTCTAGAAAAGGGTCAACAAGTTCTCATCTATTTGCTTCACACAAAGGGCCCACAAATACATTAGAGACAGAGCTTGTGTTCACACCTTCCCAAAACCTCTATGAGCTTGGTTTGATTACATAGTCAACTCTATGATTACCGATGGCCTGATTTGTGCTCATGACATTGCCATTCATTATTGTGGGACATTCATTCCCTCAACCCAATCTGATGAAGAGCCTCATTCTGTGTGCTCAGGACTCTGCTATATGGGAGTAGATAAGGGTGGACCCAGGTCTCAAGGCCTGTACAATCTAATCATGGGTTATGGAGCAGAAGCTCATGGATTGTAATAGCCCAATTATTGTTCTCCAACTGTATTCTGTTGTTGTTAACAGGGGGTTCCCTGATATAGGGGTTCATGGTTAAGTAACTGGAAGATGCTTCATTGTATATGCCCCTTGATCTGGTCGATTGTTGTGTAACAAACTACCACAAAACTTAACGGCTTAAAACAATTTATTATTATAATCTTTCTCAGTTCTGTGGGTTAACTGGGCTCAGCTGGGTGGTTCTGACTTTGGGGTCTCTCATGCAATTATTTATTTTCATCTCTCTGAGTTGCAATTAGATGACAGCTGGGACTAGACTCACCTGAAGGCTTCTTCACTCAGCATGTCTCTGTGCCTGGGTTGGTTGGGCATTTCTCTGTCTGCATGGTTTTGACATGGGTAAACTTGGGCTTCCTCATAATATGGTGGTCTCAGGGTTGTTAGGCTTCTTACACAGCAGCTGGTTTCCTCAAGAGTGATTATTACAAGAGGCCCAGGAAGGAGCTGCAAGGCTTCGTGTAACCTAACTTTGAAGTCCCCAGACACCACTCCCATAGTATTTTCTTGGTCAAGCAAGTTTCTGAGGCCAGTCCAGATTCAAGGGAGAGGAAATTAGACTCCATAGCTCAATGAGAGGAGTAGCAAATAATTTGTAGCTGTCTTTAATTTACTATGCGTCTTGGAGGTTCACAATGCATAAGAATGTATCAGAGTCATCTGAGAAGCCCTTCACCAAGAAAATCTGCTTAACTCAGCATTTTCCAAGCTGATTATTGTTGTTATTTTAAAAATCAGGAAATCTGTTTCTCACAGAAAATTATTTAACTTCTGTATTCTGCCAGAGAGAGGTGGGCAAAAATTGGAGGGATGATAGATTTGGAGCTCACTACGATCTAATAAATAAAACTTTCCCGAGATGGAATTTGGAGATTTATGGTATATTCCTGATTTGAGGATACACCCAAATAGAGGCTGCATGGCCATCTGCATGGATGAAGAGGCTGGACATCCTAGAGGATAAAGCTTTGATTTTACTTCTGACAGATTTAGGTTCTAATTCAGCCTCCACTGCTTATAGCTATGTGACACTGGGCAAGTTACGTCTCTGGGCTTCAGTTTCCTTGTCTACAGAATAGAGTTTCTATTTCATAGGGTTGTTGTGAGGACTGAGATCCTGGATGTGAATTACTTGGCACAATGCCTGTTAATGGTCAGTAATTGTTAGACATTATTGTTCTTATGATGCATAGAGGATGCCTTCCTTGGTTAGACTTTGTGGCTGCTCCGTTCCCTTCACCTTTAGGGTTTTATTTGGGTTTATTAGGGACTTACTTTCTAAAGGCAAACAAGTACTGTAAGTCATGGACTCGCCCCTACTTTTCTTGCAAAAGTAACCTCTGTACCCTTTCACTTTTTTCCAACCTAGTTTCTAATAAGTGACCGTGACCCACAGTGCAACCTCCACTGCTCCAGGACTCAACCCAAACCCATCTGTGCCTCTGATGGCAGGTCCTACGAGTCCATGTGTGAGTACCAGCGAGCCAAGTGCCGAGACCCGACCCTGGGCGTGGTGCATCGAGGTAGATGCAAAGGTGAGTGTGTGCACCCCTGCCCAGCCAAGGAGAGGTTCCTGGGCACCCCAGCTCCCTCACTATGCATTTGCAACAGGGAAGCTTGGAGTAAGTCTGTCCACTCACTTTGCTTTCCTATCTCTCCACCCCTTCCACCAGGGCCAAGGGAAGAAAGCCTGGTCTACCTGAAGGAATGAGCATTTTTCTATCTTTCAAACACTGCCCCCAGGCTAGGGCTTAAAGAGATGTGCTGCTATCTGGCCAGCGCTTTCCTTTTTCTTTTTATGGAGATGCTTAAAACCGCAAGACATTATTGCTGGCTCCTGAATAGTGATTCCAAATTGTTGGCCAACAGATGTGTTTTGTTTGGTCTGTTTGCCTGTTTAAAAACAGCAAAAAACATTTGGGATAACATTTAAAAATTGGGAGATTCAAAGAAAAAAAATCTGGCTTTTTGTCCTTCTTTTCCAAAATTGGAAGGTCTGGTAACATTAGGTCTGTGTTCCTACAAAGCAACACATGGCTAGACCTGCATAACAGCTACCGCTTTAAAGGGGAGCCTGTTGTCCAGTTTGCCACAGTCTTACAGCACTCCCTATAGTCTCTCAGAACTGAATGTCATTCCTCTCATATCCGGCTGGTTTCTCTAATTTATATCTTTTTCCTGAGTCCTGTACGTATTTGAATTTGTGACCCCGGACTGCTTAGAGCCATCACAGGAATTGTAGGTGGCTAAGCAGGCTGCGCTAGAGCCTCTGATTTTCTAAAGAAAATGGTTGCAATTCTTGAACCATAAGACATGGTTGAGCCCCTGTTAGGCTTACCACTTTTAGAATAAACCCAGTGAAAAATCATGGAACTAAAACATTTTTTTTTCTATGGGGCCAGGGTAGAGGTACTTGGGAGAAAAGACAGGCAGAACTTGGGATAAACACGAATCCTCTGCTTTTCTATGAATGACATACGGGGAAGGGGGGCTGTGCAGCAGTTACTAGCCACGGCCCTTTTAGGGTTGGACAAGCCAGTTAGTTGTGTGTGGGCTCCCGCACAGGTGGAGTGGTTTTCTCAGCCATTTTGTCCCTCGGCCCCAGTGTCGAATCCAAGTGAAATATGAAATCTGCTCCTCTCCTCTTTCAGATGCTGGCCAGAGCAAGTGTCGCCTGGAGCGGGCTCAAGCCCTGGAGCAAGCCAAGAAGCCTCAGGAAGCTGTGTTTGTCCCAGAGTGTGGCGAGGATGGCTCCTTTACCCAGGTGAGGCCTCGGACAATCCTCTTGGGCTCTTTCCTGGACCGAGGCAGAGGGGAGGTGTCCCGAGAGCGCGAGGGCTGCTTGGCGCCTTCACTTTCTGGGAAACAGTTGAGTGAGTGGCTCTTCAACTCCCCTCTGTGCTGCCTTCCCCCTCTCTGGCCCTCCCCGTCCCTCCATGCCACCTCTTGCCAACTGGCAGTAGGTCCTGAAAAGACGCATGGAAGCCCAAGCCAGGAAACTGGCATTGCTTGGTCCCCATCCTCCCTGCCGTCTGTCTCCTTGGAGGGCCAGACCTGTGCTTTTCTCTTCTGTTAAATGTGAGCTGATTATTTTTCTTATTCCTGCCAGTTTCCATGGGCAACCCTGGTATTCCCTTCCCTGTTTTTTGCTACCCCCTGCCCTCCCTGCTTTCTATCCCCAGTCCTTGAACGAAGCAGAGCCCTCTTTGAGCACAAAGTGTACTATGGTTCTTGGAGTGTGTGAGTGTGTGTGTGTGTATACACATACAGGTATGCATATACTCAGATTTTAAAACCTAAGTCAGGCAGTCCTACCTCTCATCTTGCATGATCTTCTGGTTAGTGCATTGTCAAAGTAATGCTGACTGTGTTGATCTTGGCACAGACTATTTCTTTTTTCTTCTCTTTTTTTGGAGACAGGGTCTCAATCTGTTGCAGACTGGGTCTCACTCCAGGCTGGAGAGCAGTGGCACAATCATAGCTCATTGCAGCCTTGAACTCCTGGGATCAAGCAATCCTTCCACCCACACCTCCTGAATAGCTGGGACTGTAGGCACATGCCACCACACCCAGCTTATTTTTTAGAGACAGGATCTTGCTATGTTGCCCAGACTGGTCTCAAAGTCCTGGCCTCAAGTGATCCTCCCACCTCAGCCTCCAAAAGTGCTAGGATTATAGTGTGAACCATCACACCTGGCCTTGGCACAGACTATTTCTAAAACACAGGCAATGGTGGGACAGAAAGGTGCTTCTCAGGAAAGCTTCTGGGCTGCTTCCTCCTATGCAGGGGCTTGTGGCTGAGGTGGGAGGCAGCCTGGGCGGTGGGCAGCTTCTGTGAGAGTCAGATATGATGCCAGCTGAGTGAAGGTGCTGTCCTGATGAAAGTGTGGAAGGTCACTGGACAAGGATGAGCTTAGCCAAGTGGTTGGGAATGGTCCTGGCACCTGCAATTTCTTTGTCCAATCAAACAACATTTGGGGGAATCCTGTTGTCTTAGAGCCGGGGCAGAGGCTTCAGGGGTTTAAAAGTTCCCCTGTAATTCTCGATCAATGTGGCAAAGGGTATATAGGCTGGTCTTTGGTCTGAGGGGCTTCAGGTATCATTTCCAGGTGGGACACAGTGGATTACTGATTTGAGACTAACTTTCTGTTGAGGTAGAAATGTAGAGGGATGAGGAGGTTGAGGATTGGATATCAGCATTTTAAAAGTTTTCTGGTTGATTCAAATGGGCAGCCAGGCTTGATAGTCACTGGGTTAAACTGACGTTTGTTGCCGACCCTGGGAGAGGTGCTTTTAATTCATTTTGTCATTTAAGCCTCACCACAAGCCTGTGAGGTAGGTGTCATTATCCCCATTTATAGATGATGCAACAGGTGTGGGATGTGGAGTGGCAGAGCTGGGGTTCAGACTCACAAATCCCTAAGTCCAGAGCCCTCAGAAGCCCTCCATACTCTGTTGGCTCTCTGAGCTGGCAGCTTTAAAGGAGGCTCTGAGGTGTGTTCTGGAAGGAGGCAGTCTGGTGGTCTGGTTAGAGTGCTGCTCCTGGAGCCGGACACCTGGGCACGAAGCTCAGCCCCCACCCCTCAGGTAAGTCCCCGAGCTTCTCTGGGGTCAGAATTTCCTTATCTGAAAAGTGGAGATTGATTATTATGATTGCTTATCTGTTGTTATTCACTATTATTGTATGTAATAATAATTGTTATATATTATATATTCCTATAATTAGTATTGTTAATGATCATTATTATAGCTTCCCTCATTAGGTTGTGATGAAGATAAAATCAGTTAACACACATGAAACACTTGGAACTCATAAATAATATATAAATTTTTGTCATTATCATCATGATTATTCCCATCTCTACTGTAGTTCTACTACTGAAATCTTTCTATCATGTCGATACCACTATACCGCTTAAGAAAAAAAAACCCACCAAACCTTTTGTTGAAAATCCCCAAGTTGGAAAATGGATGAACTCTTCCATCAATTTTTTAAAAACTGTTTATTCTGGTAAAAAGAATGTGGGTGATCTTTGTATATATTTAAAACTGCATTGCAAAGAATTCATGTCTGTGGGGAGGAATCAGACTTCTCTCAGATTAGTTTGGGGCTGAGACAGGGTGAAGGTAAAGGAGGAGAGTGGAGTTTGTGGCCATCGGCTTTTTCTTTCTCCAGGCTTGTGTGATCCTGGGTGTGTTGGTTATAGGAATGGCTGACCCCTGCCCTCCTGATTCTGAAGTGTTGGCTACCTCGTGACAGACAGCCCACTGGCCAGCTTTTGTTTTGGTGAGGCCAGGCCAGACCAGGTGGTGTTTACTGAGGGAAAGGAACTTCCAGATTAGTCCAGGCTAAATTGCTAAACGAGAGAGTCCCTGAAGTTCAGCAAGAGTTATGTAGATAGTCAAGAACCCCCTCATTTGTTTGACATGCTAAGCACTGCCATGTGTCTGTAGGCTGAAGGCTAGCTCACTCTGGTGGGCAGCCAGACGGCCAGACAGCGGGCCCATCCCAGCTACAGTGATTGAAATGGATGTGCTTTTCCCGCTGATCAAAGACACTGCAATAACTTCACAAAATAAGGCTGCCTCTTTGAGTATGCTTCAGTCACATTGACTGGCTGCCAAAATGCCGGGAGATGAATGCTTTCTCCTTTCTCCAACCTCCATCACTTAGCTGGGCTTTTTTTTTTTTTTTTTTCTCCTAAGACCAAAACCCAGAGATAAACTACATTGCTTTAATATTCTTTAGAATATTGATATGCACGCATCCCGGTATTAACATATTTTAGCCCTGGGAATTATTACACAGTAACCCTCTCTTGAAGTTTATGGGGGGAGTGATGGCACTCTAATGGGATTGGATTTGTCTGGCATGGGACACAGCTTGAGACCACATGACTGACTTGGCTTTAATGGGCTTCATGTGGGACTCGCTGGCCTCTGTTCTTTCCCTTTGTTTTCCCTTGTCCTCTTCCCTCCCTACCTCCAACCCCAACTCACACACAGGAGTGGTTCAGCTTTCTTCTACAGCAGCGACACTAAAGCTGTACATTAGACCATGTTAGACTTTTAAAGGTCTTGAAACCTAGGCCATATCCCAGACCATTAAATCAATATCTGGGAATGGGACACAGACATTGTGTTTTTTCGAGCTCCCCAGGCGATGCCAATGTTTGATCAAAGTTTCAAACCACTTTTGTATGGACTTCATCACTCTGTTTCTCGATTGCATCCTTGAGACGTGGAATTTAGCCTCTTTGGTGACATGTTGAATAAGCTCAGGAGCTATAGGCTTTGTCCTTTGCTATGGTCTTATCTGTTTTCTGTTCTGGGTATCTGGAACACAACTCCTGACATCTGTTCTATCAAGTCCTCTGCCAAGCAGTTGTCTGGTGCCCAAGCTGATTAACTGAAATCTCAGCTGCAGTGGAAGGGTGTTGGGCTGTCACCATCAGGCTGTGTTGGCTGGAGCTTGGCAAGTGTGTGCATCACTGAATGACAATGATGCCCACTTTTTATTGAGTGCTATCAGGTGCTAGGCCCTGTGTTTTACACCCATTAATCTTTACTACAACCTTTTGAGAGTTATTAATACGCTTATGTATAAAGAAAAATTGAGTTTCAGTGGGGTTGAATAGCTGACTTGAGGTCCCTAAGCTTAAGACAATTTGTACTCAAGCCTGCCTAATATTGAGAGCCTAAGACAAGTTGTACTCAAGCCTGCCTAATATCCAAGGCTGTGCTCTTAACTTTTTTGGGCTACAGAAGTGGCCTTGATACATATGTATTCCATTTCTATCACCATTGTTGTTGCAGAAGTTCTCTTTCTAATGCTGTTGACCAATCAATGAAACAAACATTTTAAAAAACACAATCTTTAGATTATGGAAATTAAAAAAAGATACAAAAAAGTAGACATAATAGTATAATGAACATATACCCATCACCCAGCTTCAACAATGATTAAGAAATGGCCAGTTCTGTTTCATCTTTACCTCATTTCCATCTCCTGCCCCCAAACTGGATTGCTTCAAAGCAAATCCCCACGCACAGTATCTTTTCATCCCAGATATTTTTGAGCTCTGCTATATTGTGGGCTGTGTGCTGGTTGCTAGGGAGGATTCAAAAAAATGTCATGACCTCTGCCTTCAAGGAGTTTACACGCAGAAAAGAGATTAAGACATATGATAAAGTAACTATATAAAAGACAATATACAAACAATAATATTTCGAAAGCTCATTTATAAGTCAGTTATTTGGAATCCTGAATGCCTTTTATTGTTAAGAAAATATATACAAATTTTAAATTTTTGGACACAAATACCTTAAACAAAACTAAAAGCAAAACTGAGCATGGTGGCACAAGCCTGTAGTCCCAGCTAATTGGGAGGCTGAGGCAGGAGGATTGCTTGAGTCCAGGAGTTCAAGGCTATATTGCTCTATGATTGCACCTGTGAATAGCCACTCCACTCCAGCCTGGATAACATAGTGAGACCCTGTTTCTAAAAAGAGAAAAACTAAACTAAAAGCAAACAACACACATTAGCCTTAACAACAAAGAGCTAATCTTATGTAAAGAACTCTTACAATTCAGAAAGAAAAAGATCCTAGTGAAAATGTGGGCAAGAGATAGCAAAAAACCAGCCATATGATAATAATAGTCAATAAGTGAATCTGAATGATGTTATCTTCTTTTGTCATTTTAGAAATACAAATAAAAATGATGATGAATGCTCTTGCTTACTAAATTAGCAAAAACTGGGAAAAGATGATGATATTCAGGGTCAGATAAAGGGAAAAGGGTGCCCTTCTATTGCAGTTTGGAAAGTAAATTGGCACTGACTTTTTAGTGGGATAGTCTTGTAATATGGGTCAAAAGTCTTCAATCGTGTCCACATTTTGGGCCTGCAATTCCACTTCTAGGAATTTATTCTAAGGAAGTAACTAAAAATATGTGAAACTATTTAGCCACAAGGATTACAATCCAAGTTTTGTTTGTAGTGGCAAAAAATTGGAAACAACCTAAATATCCAATACTAGAAAATTGCTTAAACAAATGACATAGCCACACTATGCAACCTCCAAACGCATGTGTTGTAGAGGCTTATGTAATATATTTGTGTAGGTCTGTGTACTAGGGATTTAATTAACCAGATAATTAAGATGATAAATATTTTCATTTTTTTCTAAATAGAAAAGCTATACACATTCTGTTAAAAAAATTCTGACAATATGGAAGTATATAAGGTAGAAAGATTAAGCCAGTGATTTCATGACCCTGAAATAGCAACAGTTAAGTCTAACCCTCTAGATTTTTTTCCTTGTGTGTACTTATTGTCATTATTTAGGACAAGAATGGTGTAATGTTATATATTGTTTTACAATATTTTCTTAGCTAAGTATATTATGGGCTTATTTCCCAGTAAGTTACATGCAACACTGTCTCATTTAAAAAATGTCTGCATTGTATTTCATTGTATGAATGTATCACGAATCCTAAAAATTTGGAGATTAACTTTCCAGCAGCTCTCTATTGTGTCAAAAGGCCATGCACTTTTTAAGGCATTTGATGCATACTACCACGTCGCTTTCCATAAATGTTGAGCAACCATGTGGTTGATTATTGGTTGTTATCAGACTCATTCCCAAGATATTTTAATTTTTTATGTAGACAGATTATAGTTCTAATAATATAGAATATAAAACTCTATTCATTATGTTACTTCTGTGTGGAAAAAAATGTGTTATGTTTCCTGTCTTTGAGCTCCGTGGTCCAGGAACAATCTTTCTTGATATAGTTGTATGGGCACTACCACTTCTCCCATTTTCTAATTCTAACCACTGCTCCCCTCCAACAGTGCACACATGTACCTGATTTTTTTATTTCCTGAGGTCATTGCATATAGGGATCTATATGCATGGATCCCTTGCATATAGGGATCTATATGCATGGATCTCTTGCATATAGGGATCTGGGGAGATGTAACTTCTTCTTGATGATGCTTTGTTCTGAAGTTGGAAGCTTAAAAAATGTTCTGTGGCTTTTTGACAAAGGCATTGGGCTCTATTGTCATTTCCATAGTTCTTACTATTGTATTTCCTAAAACCTAGGGAAATACACACTTGTTTCCTAAGTGCCTGGGGTTGAGCTATGAAGCAGATCTTATTGTTCCTTTTTAGCTCCCCAGCCCCACAGTATAGAAACGCATCTTCCTGACGTCACCCCTGTAGACTCGAGTTGTGTGACTAGCTTGCCCTGGGAACACCTTGGTTTACCGTCTGGTTTTTCTTCTTTCACATTCCCAGCAAGTACTGAAGGTCTGGATGCTTGACATGAACTGTGAAACTTTGTTGGCCTGGACTGATGAAACATTGGCAGGCTGAACATCCTCATAGGGTGGAAGGGGTTTGTCCTATCTTTGATGAGCCTGGGAGTCTAATAGGAGTTCAGGGGCCAAGGGCCTTTTTGTCTTCATGTGGATATATCTTGCCTAGAGCAACAGTTTGGCTCTCTCAGACAGTGTAGAGGACCCTCTAGGTGAAGTACTGAGACCTGGGGTGCATCTGTGAGCTGGAATGTTTCCAAGCTTCTTCAGCCACAGTTGGCCCCTTTGGATGCTGCAGAAAAAGTGGGCTCTGTGTGTGTTTAGTGGATGGTGCCCTGCTTTATAAAGACCTCCTGCCTTTTGGTCTGTGGACAATGCCAGCTTTTTTTTTTAAAGCAGTCATACTGCCAAAAATTCAAGCCCATCCTTTATGTACAGATGGTATAAATGGTAAATGGTCCCCACTGTTGGGCACTTATTGCTTTTCTTTTTCCTTTTTTGTTATATGCTCAAAAAACATATTATTATTACAGTGTGAACATCTACTGTGTCCAGAGCATCTCACTACTTGTTTTACATGTGTTTTTCAGTGAATTGCTTTTGTTCCAAACAACCAGTTAATGTACAGTGATAATTTATACAAAATGTCTTCTATTTAGCACATAATTGTTGCTTAGCAGATGTTAGTTTTCTTCATCTTTAGGTTCTTGGTTTGCTCAACTGGGAAGAGTTGAACTCGTTCAGAGGTTGGCAAACTGTGGTCTGTGGACCGGCCACCTGTTTTTATTTATTCTTTAAAATAATAACTGTATTGACATATAATTTGTGCATCATAAAAGTTACCATTTTAAAATATGCTATTGAGTGGTTATTAGTAAATTCACAGTTATGCAACCATCATCATTATCTAATACCAGAACATTTTTGTCACCCGAGAAGAAATCTTGTACGCATTAGCATTCACTTCCCATTACCTCTCTCCTCAGTCCTTGGCAACCACTAATCTACTTTCTATTTCTATGATTTGCTTATTCTGGACATTTCATACAAATGGAATAATAATATGTGGTCCTTCTGCCTGGCTTAGTTTAATCAGCATAATGTTTTCAAGGCTCAGCCTTGTTGTAGCATGAATCAGTACTTCATTCCTTTTTATTGTCAAGCAATATTCTATTGTGTATATATATATATATATATATATATATATATATATATATATATATATCCTGTTTTATTTATTCATTCATCAGCTGATGGACATTTGGGTTGTTTCTATTTTTTATTTTTAGTTTTTATTATTTTTTGAGATGGGGTCTCGCTCTGTTGCCCAGGCTGGAGTGCAGTGGCATGATCTGGACTCACTACAACCTCCACCTCCTGGTCTCAATTGATCCTCCTACCTCAGCCTCCTGAGTAGCTGGGACCACAGGTGTGCACCATTGCACTTGGCTAAATTTTTGTATTTTTGGTAGAGATGGGGTTTTGCCATGTTGCCAAAGCTGTTCTTGAACTCCTGAGCTCAAATGATATGCCCACCTCAGCCTCCCAAAGGATTACAGGTGTGGGCCACCACGCCTGGCCTGTTTCCATTTTTTTGGCTGTTATAAATAGTACTATTGTGAAGATTTGTGTACATTTTTTTGTGTTTATCTGTTTTCAATTCTCTTGGCATATACCTAGGAGTAGAATTGCTAGGTCATATGGTAACTATGTTTATGCTTTTGAGGAACTGACAGACTGTTTTCCAAGGTAGCTGAACCATTTTACATTCCCACCGGCAATGTATGAAGGTTCCAGTTTCTCCACATCCTTGTCAACACTTGTTATTTTCCATCTTTCTTATTAGTATCTTTTCTAGTGGGTGTGAAGTGGTATCTCATGGTGTTTGGATTTGCATTTCTCTGATGACTAATGATGTCAAGCATCTTTTCATGTGCTTTTTGGCCATTTCTATATCTTTGGAGAAATGTCTACTCAGATCCTTTTCCCATTTCTTAATTCAGTTACTTATCTTTTCATTATTGAGTTACAAGAGCTCTTTATATATTCTAGATACAAGACTCTCTCTCTTTTTTTTTTATTTGAGATGGATCTGACTCACTCTGTCACCCAGGCTGGAGTGCAGTGGCACCATCTTGGCTCACTGCAACCTCTGCCTCCTGCATTAAGGTGATTCTCCTGACTCAGCCTCTGGAATTGCTGGGATTATAAGCGCGTGCCACCAAGCCTGGCTAATTTTTGTATTTTTATATTAGAGATGGGGTTTCACCATGTCGGCCAGGCTGGTCTTAAACTCCTGACCTCAGTAATCTGCCTGCCTTAGCCTCCCACAGTGCTGGGATTACAGGCGTGAGCCACTGGGCATTAGGTACCAGACTCATCAGATATATGATTCACAAATATTTTCTCCCATCCTGTGGGTTCTTTTTACGTTCTCAATAATTTCCTTTGAAGCACAAAAGCTTCTTTTTTTCTTTTTTCTTTTCTTTTCTTTTTTTTTGAGAGAAGGTCTCACTCTGTCACCTAGGCTGGAGTGTGGTGGTACCATCTTGGCTCACTGCAACCTCGGCCTCTTGGGCTCAAGCGATCCTCCCACCTCAGCCTCTTGAGTAGGTGGGACTACAGGTGCATGCCACTATGCAGGGATAATTTTTGTGTTTTTTGTAGAGACGATGTTTTGTCATGTTGCCCAGGCTGGTCTTGAACTCCTGAGCTCAAGCAATCTGCCTGTCTTGGCCTCCGAAAGTGCTGGGATTACAGGCGTGAGCCACTGCGCCTGGCCAAAAAGCTTTAGTTTTGAAGTTCAATTTATCTTTTTTTTCTCTTTTATTTCTTATAACTTCATTCCTTTTCATGTGTATATTCGGTTGTCTCAGGACTACTTGTTGAAAAGACTGTTTTTCCATCTTGAATTGTCTTGGTCCTCTCATCAAAAATAAGCTTATTTCTGGAATCTCAATTCTATTCCTTAATCTATATGTCTAGTCCTATGCCAGTGCCACACTCTACTGATTACTATAACCTTGTAGTAAGTTTTGAAATCTTATTTTTTCTTTGTAATTGGACAGTGAGATGAGGGTTGTTCTGCACCCATGTATGGGGTTAATGCTGGCTCCACTCACCGAGGCAGAGCATCTAGTAGGGGGAATGCACAGGAACCTGTAGCCTGTGCTGTGGTCCTAGGTTTGGAGACAATGTCAGTACCCTTGGCATGATATTTGTAAGAAAAGGGAAAGGTTGGGAGAGAACGGTACCAAATGGGGGTAGGAAACTTTTTAGAATCACCAAAGATGAGCATTGTATATCTCTAAGAGCTTTCAGTCTCTGACAGGCCAATACTTCTTTGAATCTACAAGCAGGAAAGGGAATTCCTTTTCAAATTAGAAACTCTGGGTTACAGGGAGCCTTGAAACTGTAGAGGAGAAATGCTACTGCCTGTCGGAGTAGAGCGGTGTGCTTGTGCTGGTCCCTCCCGCCCCTCCCCCAATGGCGTATCCTCTGTGGGCATTAAGGTTCTCAGCACATCAAGATCTGGGAGAGGTAGAAGCTGGAGCCCCAGTGAGCAGCAGCCAGTAGCCAGCTTCCCAAGGGCACCCTACTTTTGCCTTCCTGTGGGAGGTCAAGGTGGCATATCATTTGCAGTGAGTGAACAATCTCAGTTATGCAGTTACGAAATTTAATTTTTAACTTTGTCAGTGATGGCAAGAGCAGGGTCTGACCCATTCATGTGCAGGAAGGACTTGTCTAGGAAGTGACCGGTCTAATCTCTTGCATGTGTTGGGAGCCTCTACTATCATGTTTTCAATGGAAGAACTGGTCCCCATGCCCCCATCACCCATCAGGTGCAAGGATGTGTGATAAGATGAGGGTGGATGGAGCACGCTTTGTGCTCAGAACACTGTCTCCATTGTGCTCTCTGGGGACTCGCCTATCCCACTCTCTGCTCTGTCCTGCTCTTCAATGGCTGTTTTCTAGCTGAATGGCCACTGTGAGTCCTCTTCAGATTGGCTGGCATCATTTGCTTTGGAGTAAGCATGCAAGGTTTGGGTGCTCCCAGCTGGGCATCCGAGCTCCCTGTAGCCCTTAGTGATTCTGTCCCTACAATTTGTCTATTGTGGAAATGAAAGGAGTGAGCTCTGGGCGGTATCTGCAGCTGCTCTTCTGCAATGCAGTGTGCTTGGGAGGGAGGGAGGGAAAGATGGAAGCCTCCTGCTCTGGCTTTCCTGCTGTCTGTGGGAGAGGAGAGGCTCAGTAATGGGAGGCTTCAGTCACTCTCTCTGGTATTCTTTTTTTTTTTTTTTGAGACAGAGTCTCACTCTGTCGCCCAGGCTGGAGTGTAGTGGCGCGATCTTGGCTCACTGCAAGCTCCACCTCCTGGGTTCACGCCATTCTCCTGCCTCAGCCTCCCAAGTAGCTGGGACTACAGGTGCCCACCACCACGCCCGGCTAATTTTTTGTATTTTTAGTAGAGACGGGGTTTCACTGTGTTAGCCAAGATGGTCTCGATTTGCTGACCTCGAGATCTGCCCGCCTTGGCCTCCCAAAGTGGTGGAATTAAAGGAACTGCTCTTCTTTTTTAGATAATCATCATCATCAACAACACCACCACTTTCTTAACCTATACACAAGGTGCCAGGCTGTTTTATATTTGCCTGACACATGTTAAGTTATTCAGTCCTCACTATAAGCACTGTTACATTCCCATTTTATTGATGTGGAAACTGAACCACAGAGAAGCTGTGTAGCTTGCCCAGGGTCTCACAGTGTGCAAGTGGCAGAGTCAGTATTCAAACCCAAGTACCCTGGCTCCAGAGTTCTTGATCCTAACCATGATTCCACACTGCCCCTCTAAGAGACATTGCCATCTTTTAAAGTGATGTTGCCAGACTAGGGCATATTCAGGAGGGTGACTCAGGTGAGTAAAGTTGGGAAATGATGTCATGTGAGGAATATCCAATGGAGCCAGAGATAACAACCAAAGGATGGATAAAAAGATGACTAGGCCGGGTGCAGTAGCGCACGCCTGTAATCCCAGCACTTTGGGAGGCCGAGGTGGGTGAATCACCTGAGGTCAGGAGATCAAGACCAGCCTGGCTAACATGGTGAAACCCCATCTCCACTAAAAACACACAAAAAATTAGCCAGGTGTGGTGGTACATGCCTGTAGTCCCAGCTACTTGGGAGGCTCAGGCAGGAGAATCGCTTGAACCCGGGAGGTGGAGATTGCAGTGAGCCGAGTTGGCGCCACTGCACTCCAGCCTGGGTGACAGAGCAAGACTCTCAAATAATAATAATAATAATAATAATAATAAAAAGATGACCAAAGGGATACCTGAGAGCCAGATCCAAACCTTTGTCTGTGAATGATAATAAGTCTTTTAAGTGTAGTCCCACAGAGCTGACCCAGGATCACTGAGTACAGTATATAAAGAGTAGGATTCTGACTCGAAATAGGGAAGAACTTTTGACAAGTAGAGTAGCTCACAGACAGAATGTCTGACTCAAAGAGGACTTAACTTCCCATCCTGGAAAGTGGGCAATCAGAGACCAAGTGGATATCCATCAGCTGTGCCATGGGGATGGGAGGGAGTGTTCCTACATTGGGAAGGGGGTTCAATTGATCTCTGAGGAGGAAAACACCACTTTTTAGGATTTTATGAAACAAGAGCTAATGTCCAATCAGGTGGCTAGGCACACAGTAGGCCCACAACAGACATTTACTCAGGAAACTTTCAGGCAGAGCCATTAAGACACACGTTTAGGGCTTTTGCCACTGCTCTGTGAGTGCACGTAACATGCTGGGAGGTGACCCGGCAGGTCAGTCAACTAAACTCTTCTGCAAAATTGAAGGGATCAGAATTTTTTTTCATGTCAAAATAGGGAAGAATAATAGGAACTCAGGTGGGAGGTGTGAAGACAGAAAAGTTTTATTAAAAGTGAAGTCAGACAGGAGAACAAGGAAAGGCTCCACTCCTGCAGGCCACTTTTGTCTTCCCCACCAGCCAGCGTTCTCACAGTTCTCATCTGAGTAAATGCTCCTATTTATGAGGGACTTTCTTATTATGTACTTTTTAAACATAAAAATATATTTGATACTTAACCCCCAAGATAGAAATAAAATTAAAGGAACAAGAGGTATCATATTTGCTGTTTACAAAACCTGGACCATTCTAGGCACCAGACAGAGGAACAGGAGTGAAGACAGTGAAGTTTCTTGGGTCCCCGGAGCCCTAACACTCGGGTGTTCCAAATGTCTTTATATGTCCTTTGTGGGGGATGCTGTTCAAACTTTTTGGAAAATACAAAAAATATTCTTCACCATATAATTGGATTGGTGGTCTTAACACTGACAATTAGGTACTAGTTTATAAATCTCCTCCCTACTCTTCAGGAGCAAAAGTTCACCTTACAGCAGGGTTGTGGAATTATGGACCTTCTGGATTAAAGAGGACCTCAGAGACATCTGGTTTATCTTCTTCCTCTACCTACCCCACTCCAATCCAGGGCTCACGCTCCACTTACAGTCTCTACCCAAGTAGTCTTCCACCTTCTGCTTAATTGCTCTCAGAGACAGGAAGCTTATTCTCACAATGAAAAAATCCATAGTGAATTTTGGGACAATTTTTTTGGAAAGTCCTCTTTACCTTGACTTGAGAGCTGTCTTCCTATAACTTCCAAGAGATGACTTCAGTTCTAGCTATGGGAATTATAGAATCCACAGAAAGACTTGAAGATGAGCACCATTATATCCTTGTGAAATCTTCTCTTTCAGCCAACAATTTATTTCCCCTGGCAGAAATCCTTAGTTCTAGCACTCATTCCCATACCATAGGGATTTATATATCTTTCCATCTGGCCTCCTTCTTCTGAGTCTAATTTGCCAAGGCCCTTCTTATAGGGCCTTCCTTATAGCATCCTTCCTCACATTGGACACAAGATTTCAGATGTGGTCATGAGCAGGCTGGGGAAGAACAAGGCCATCTCTTGTTCTAAACACACCACTCCTAACTAATGCCATGTTGGCAGCCATATCACACCATCAACTCATAAAAAATGCAGTTGACAAAGACTCCCATATTTAGGAGGATTTGAAATTGAAGGATTAGCTTCCTTTCCTGCATCTCCTCTTAAATTCTGGCAGATGAGGTAAATACTCTTAAAGGAAAAATTCTTCATTCCCCAACAGGCAATCCTCCCTAGACTTGGCATAAAGTGGGAGACAATGTCTACAGTCAATAAGAATAGCAGTGCTTTCAGGCTATGGCCTAGATTAAGCTTGCCCATCCCATGGCCCGCAGGCCACATGCTGCCCAGGATCGCTTTGAATGAGGCCCAACACAAATTCGTAAACCTTCTTAAAACATTATGAGATTTTTTTTAAGCTCATCAGCTATTGTTAGTGTTAGTGTATTTTATATGTACCCCAAGACAGTTCTTCTTCCAGTGTGGCCCAGGGAAGCCAAAAGATTGGACACCCCTGGCCTAGATCCTCTGCAAAAGGTAGGGGAAAAGGATAAAATCAGCATGTGCTAAGCACATATCCTATATCTACACTGTTTTAGATGCTTTATATATCTTGTTTCATTTTGTCTTCTTAATAATCTTCAAGGTGGTACCATGAATCCTGTTTCATAGATAGGCTCAGAGAGGTTAAGTGACTTTGCTGAAGTCACACAGCTAGTAGTGGAGATGGTATTTACACTGAGGTCTTTTTGTCTCCAAAACCATGTTTTCCCTTCTACTCCTGTTGCTTCTCAGCCAAACCTGACTAAAGATGAGGAGAAGATGTGTGCGATAACCTATTCCAAACTGAGGAAAGGACAGCTCATGCTAGACAGACCAAAAGAATTACACCATCCCTTCCTTCTCTCCCCCTTAACCACTTCTCACTGCAGTCAAACTCTTGTCCATGTGTGAAATCACCCAGAAGATTTAATACTGCAGTCACTAGATTCATGCATTAAAATACCATGTCATTAAAACATTGGGAATATAAAAGCTTTGGAAACAAATAGGGTCACAAGGCCCCTTGTTCCCAAACTCTCACGTAGAAAACTACTTGTTTCTTGAGTATTTCATGATAAATGCCAGAAAGAGGGTGGGATGCTCCTTTGACACAGTGGCTCATGAAGTGTGGTCCCTGGACCCAGCGGCAAGAGCATTGCCAGAGAACCTGTTAGAAATGCAAATGCTCCAGATGACTCCAGACTCAATGAATGCAGAAGCTCTGTGGGTGAGGCCCAGCAATGTTTTCATAAGCCCTCCAGATGACTCTCATCCATACCCAATAAACAATCTTCTCCCTCAGATTCTGATGGAGAGAGATGTTCTTGGGGGTGGGGACATAAGTGGCCATCTCAGGTGATCAGTCTTCCAGCCAGAGCCCATGGCACCCATGGAAAACCACAACTGCTCAGACATCCTACAGGGAATGCAGCCAAAAGGAAAACAGAGCAGCTGAAAATACTGCTCTGACATGAAGCCATCAGTAGGACCAACAGCAAGATGTTTAAATTTCACTGTGCATTAGCTTAATCCAAAAACCCTGCTATCCGATTTGGAGTAATGGGCAGGTTAAAAAGAAAAAACAGTCTCATACTCTCACTGCCAAAAGAGAGTTAGAAAAATACTCACATTCTTTTTACTTGTAGTTTAACCTTTTTCCACTAGGAAATGTTCATATACATGACAGCAGTCCTTTCATTACATGTTTTGTAGCTGCTACCAGGCATGCTGAATCAAGCCTGTCCCATTGCATATGGTTCATGATTTCTATTTTGCAAAAGAAGCACAAAGAGACAGATGGGGAGAAATGAAGCCACAGGGTGAGAAGGCACTGTGCCTTCCATGGGATCCCAGTTGTCCTTGAAGTTCTGAGGCAATTCAGGATGGATTTCTTAGCAAATACATAGCTTGACAAAGCATTACAAAAAGAGAGGAGGGGTTGTCATCGGAAGGAAATTATTTCAAGCATAGTGAACTGAGAGCCTGATATCTAGACTGCAAAAAAGTAGGATGGGACAAAGTGAAAAAATACAGCAAGGCCTTGTAATTCATTATACTGCTTTTTCCCTTGACCCCAAGCACATTTCAGAGAACACTTGTCCTGTCCAATGCTCCCTGTGTAAAAGTTAGGGGAGGGTCCCTGCATTTGTCCATTCTTGCGTTGCTATAAAGAAATACTGGAGACTGGGTAATTTATAAAGAAAAGGGGTTTAATTGGCTCACAGTTCTGCAGGCTGTACAGGAAGCATGATGCTGGCATCTACTCCGCTTCTGGAAAGGCCTCAGGAAACTTACAATCATGGCGGAAGGGGAAGGGGAAGCAGGCAAATCACATGGCCAGAGCAGGAGCAGGAGCAGGAACAGGAGAGAGGGAGGGGAGGTGCCACACACTTTTAAACGACCAGATCTCACAAGAACTCACCCGCTGTCGTGAAAACCAAGGAGATGGTGCTAAACATTCATGAGAAACCCAGCCCGATGGTCCAGTCACCTCCCAACAGGCCCCACCTCCCACGCTGGGGATTACATTTCAACATGAGATTTGGATGGGGACATGCATCCAAACTGTATCAGTCCCCTAGTTTAATAAGTTTAGGAATTGCTGCAAATGGTATCTTCCTCTTAGGGATAAATCATTAATTGATGTAAAGCTAGGAGAAGTTCTGCAGTAAAGAAATCTTTTAACTTTGTTTAACCCAATATTTCCAAAGTTATTTGGCCAGAGGACACCTTTATCCCTCATTATTTCTATTCACACCTCACAGAACACAAGCTGCATTCATTCATCAGTGTATCAAATTGGAGAGAACAGCAGCCTCACATTTCTGGAGAAAAGAGAAGAAAGTGGGCACCTGCAGAGAGACTGGTTTCCTCTCTGGTTTCCTAGGAAAGCAAGGGTGATTGGTAGGAGAGTGAAAGAAGAAGCAACAAAGAAGCGAGTCTGGGAGGTGAGGCCTCACCCCTGCCATAGAAACCACCAGAGAACATCCCAGGGGAAGCAGGGCAGCCCGCAGCAGGTGGAGGCGCCAATGCTACTCCAGAAAAGGCCTCTCATTGAAACGGGAGCAGAAGACTCTCTTCCAGCTGCTTCCCTGGTGGGCATATTTACATGACCCCAAAGAGTTCTATTTTCCAGAAAATTACAAGGCTCAAAGAGACTCAGTCGCTTCCTGTCTCTTCCTCCTTCCTTGAGGTCTGAGAGCTTTCCATCTGCCGGGACAAGGTACTGGGAGCCAACTACTACTCTGTCTCTGGGCCTCAGTTTCCTCATTTTTGAAGTGTTTGGGTTAGATTGGTGACCTCTAAGGCTTTTTCCAGTCCATCAGTTCTGAAATTTTATGATTGCTTGGATATTGGGATTCCAATGTCCTGTGCTGTTATTAACTAGCTTTGAACAAATAACTTCTGCTCTCTGTACCTCTCCTATAAAAGATTTGCACACAGGGTGGCTTTGAGGCCCAAGTGAGATAATGCATAGACCTTTGATGGTGACTGAGAAGCCATCATGAAAGTGGAAGGTGGTATTTTTTGCGTTGGACATGGCACCTGCGGGTGATAGTTGTCTATATGTGTTGTTCATCTGTCGGCCCCATTTCTCTCTTTGCTTTCTTCCCCTTTGCTCCCTGACTTGCTTTACCCCCAGGAGCTGAGGTTTCTCTGCTCATCGGTTGCTCACCTGCCTTGTTGGGAGTGGTAGCCTGCCACATCCTTCCAGGTGTTCAGAATTTGGGCTAATGTTGAAGATTAGCAGGATTAAAATAATTCAGATCTGTCTTTATCTGGATGGGGGTTGGCCTGAAATATACCACTAGGCTGTTTATGTAAAGGGCTTCTTGCCAAAAATATTAAAGTGTATGAGGCAGAGATGAAACTTACTTATCTAGGAACACACTGCCTTAAAGGACCTTTGAGACCCCTAGTTACATTCTTTTTTTTGGAGACGGAATCTCACTTTATTGCCCAGGCTAGAGTGCAGGGGTGTGATCTTGGCTCACTGGAACCTCCAACTCGTGGCTTCAAGCAATTATCCTGCTTCGGCCTCCCGAGTAGCTGGGATTACAGGCATCTGCCACCACGCCTACTAATTTTTGTATTTTTAGTAGAGACGGGGTTTCACCATGTTGGCCAGGCTGGTCTCGAACTCCTGATCTCCAGTGATCTGCCTGCCTCGGCCTCCCAAAGTGCTGGAATTACAGGCATGAGCCACCGCACCTGGCCCCGCTCCCCCTGGTTACATTCTACAGTACAGTTGCAATATAAGCAGAAGGTAACCTCACTTAGGTTGATGAGTAAACACTTTTTGTCCCTTAAGGAGGAGCCATCTGTTGACACTTCAGCCTTCCTAGGATGCTTCGGAGTGGGATAGGAGCAGATTTCACTGTTTGTATCTGTACCTTTTGGGCCAGAACAACCATGAGTTTTGAGAACTGCACAGGGAGATATTTGAAATAGCCAATTGCCTCATGGATCCTCTTGGCCCTGGGTTTTCTGAGATTAAGTCTAAAAGTTGACCAACTTGAGGCTCTTAGGGAAAAAGGAAGGGTATTACTTATTAATTTAAAAGGATAAATCTGCAAGGGAGGAAGCTAAGCCAGGTAGAGTTTACATCTTGATCATGTATATAGAAACCATCAATTCAAAGAATTTACACCCTGATCGCTTTTCTGCAAGAAACGTTTCTCTCCTCTGCTGGCAATAGAACTATTTCTATGTGAAAACAAACATCTCCTTCTTCCACCCAAACCTTTGCAAACGTTTTGCTGACTTTAGACTGCCACTTCCCCTCAGGCTGCTCAGAATAGGATGTTCTTTTGTCCTCATCAGATAATCTGGCTCTGGCATTTTTGAGTGTACAGATAGTTTGCTAAAATATAACACAATGATAATAAAAATAAATAGCTGAAAGTTAACTGGGCACTTACCCTGTGAGCTAAGTGTTTTATTTACATTATCAAATTGAATTCTCTTAACAACTAAGATAAGTATTATTGTCATGATTATCTTCCCTTTTTAAAAAGATACAGACAGACCGAGGCTTAGTGTGATTGAAAAGCTTTTCAAGGCTGCAGAAGGAGTTAAGTGGCGGAGCTGGGAGGTGCTGGAAGGCCGGCTGCAGACTGTCTCCATGTAACTTCTTTTTCTGCAAGAAGTCACCTTGAAAACTCCCTAGACAACTTAGAAACAACCTCTCATTGTGGAATCATGGGCTGATTCACTCGGGGCTCCTTCAGCTAAGAGCTTGTGCTCGGCCACTTCCCTCAGCTCCTGGATCTGAGACCTTGCTCGGGTCTTCTGTGCCACCCTTTGCCCATGGCTGTCCCCACACCTGCGGCACACCTGGGGTAGGTGTGCCATTATTGTATACCCCCGCCCTCACAGGCACATGGCAACAATTCCTCATTTGATTTCAGTTTTATAGGACTTGGAAGGAGCTCCCAGCCTGGGATTTTGTAATCTGGGCTCTCTACTTTGGAGCCTGGACTGAGAAAAATGCTGAGGGCTCTGGGGAGAAAGGAGCTGTGTTTGGGCCTCTGGGCCAGCCGGGAGCTGGGAGACAGTGTTCATGTGCCCACTGGGATACAATGGGCACACTCAGTGAGAATGTGGCCCTTGGGACCCTCTGAGCCCACAGGTCAGATTATATCCCCAGAAACAAAGCTTTGGGCTTAGCCTCTTACTCATGAATTTGCTTCTGTCCCCACTAGCCTTTGCTGGCACTCTGTGCATGCTTGAGAGGAGGCAGCTTTTGAACCAGCCCGTTCTCTGCAGCCTGCTTAACTGCAGTGCCTGGCTCCCGCAGCACAGCACTGGGCCAGAGACACAGCCTCGGGCGATGGACTTGAGGGCACAGTCCTCATGGAGACAGAGGCCTACCTTGGCCATGGGAGTCAAGGGCCCTGGGAGTGAGTCAGCGTGGCCATTCAGCTCCTGGGACATGTTTCCCCAGAGGTGATTATTGACCAAGGAGGAGAGAGCAGCCTGCCAGGCTCCATTAAATTGCTGCCACTGGCAAGGAACTGTCTTTAGGAAATATCCCCTCTAGGGTGGATGGAGTCTGAAGGGATCAACTCCACATTTCCAGCAGCATTTCCCACCCAAGTCTGTGGAGGTTACTAGAGGAGATCTGGCCCTGGAAAAGGCCAGCTTGCCAGGCATTTCTGGCATCGCTGAGAACAATTCTCACCACCGCCACTCCATATCCAGCCTTCGCTGGGTGCCAGACAATGGACTTCCTTACCTTCAGGTTTCACGTTGTTATCCCCATTTTATAGATGGGCTCAAAGAGCTGAGCGATGTATCTAGTTCATAACTGGCTGGACCAGGATTCAAATCCACGTCTATCTGGATTTTTTTCCATTCCACCATTAAGGCTCCTCAGAAAGTAGTGTTGACGTGACCCCAAGATATTGCTCTTGGATGAACATTTGGGGTAGCAACCATGGCCATGAGATGAAGTGGGTGTGGGACATGGTACTGGGGTAAAGGCATTGACCAGAAGACCCGAGCAGGGTCTCAGATGCAGGAGCTGCGGGAAATGCCTCATTTAGACAGCATGCACCTTCGTGGTAGGAACAAGGTTCCCCCTATCTTGTCTTATCCTTGATTTCTGTCGATAGGTCCATAGCGAAACAACTTGTCTTGGGGAAAATGACGGTGTTTGGTGTCCACACGAGAGCAGAAGCCTTTCTACAGCTTTTCTGCCTTTGTGATAACTTTTGGATTTCACCAAGGCTGTCAGATGTCTCCTCTCACTGCTCCCTTCCATCCCTTACCACTCAATTTGTGTGCTATTACTGTCTAGCCTTGATTTCAATATGTCCTTGATTTCAAGAAGCACATTTTCTTCACACCTTAATATCTTTGCAGTTGGCACATGTCTTGTAATTGAGATCTACATTTAATGTAGTGGGGTTGTTTAAATTGACATTGCATTTTTATAATTGATGGAGACCAAGAATTGAGAAAATAGGATAATGGATGCCTTTATTCAACCCATCAATCACCTACAATGAATGTCAGGCATTATGTTAGATTCTGGGAATGTAGAAATAACTAGCATGCAGTCCCTGAGGTCACGATCTTGAGAGGGGGGAGTGGACTGGATGAATCAACAGCTAGAGCTCACAGTGATAAGGGCTGTGATTTTGGGGGCCCCAGGGTGTGTGGGAGGATCAGAGGAAGGAGGCAGGGGAGGCTGGGACTGCTTTGAGGAGGTGTATCACAAAGGAGGAGGGGAATACGAGGGATTAGGAGTGGATGGGAGATGGGTTGGGGAAGGGCATTCCAGACAAATGGAATGGTTGGAGCAAACAAAGGCTCAGAATCAGGAGAAACTAAAATGTGTTTGGGAGCATCAGAGGGTTCTGTGGCCAGAGTGGAGGGTGTGTGCTGGGACATGGGCATGAAATGAGGCTACGGAAATAGATGGAGGCAGATCACAGAGGACCTTGTGCATACCAATGAGTTTCATCTCTATCCTAGATCCCAACGCGAATCACTGAAGGATTCTAAGCAGGGAAGTAGGCCTTAATGTGTGTTTAGGAACTCCAGATTGAAAGCAGGATAGTGGGGTGGGGCGGGAGGTGGTGGGTAGGGTGACAGCTACTGGAAGAGAAAGAAGAGCTACCCTGAAGGATGAAAAAAGCCTCATTCCTTTTTGCTATTCCCAGGCAGGCAGACCTGATCTTGGAGGCTTGAGGAAGATCACACAGTGGTGCAGCAGGGCATCTAGAAATAAAACCTGCAGGTTTTACCCTTGCCTTAATCCCGTCATGTGTGCCCTCATCTCAAGACAGTCACAAGATCAATAGGCAAGCTGATCTATGAATGGATGCTAGGAGAAGCTAGACAAAGAAGAAAAGCTTACCACTTGTCTCTGCTTGTTAAAGAAATGTCATTTCAATCTGCAGTGGTGTCATTCCAACTTGTACTTGCCAAATTAGTTCAAGGATTAGAATTTTTGACTGGGTGCGGTGGCTCACGCCTGTAATCCCAGTACTTTGGGAGGCCGAGGCAGGTGAATCACTTGAGGTGAGGACTTCAAGACTACCCTGGCTAACATGGCGAAACCCATTTCTACTAAAAATACAAAAATCAGCCTGGTGTGGTGGTGCATGCTTGTAATCCTAGCTACTTGGGAGGCTGAGGCAGGAGAATCGCTTGAACCCAGGAGGCAGAGGGTGCAGTGAGCTGAGATCATGCCACTGCACTCCAGCCTGGGTGACAGAGTGAAACTGTGTCTCAAAAATAGGGTGGGTTAGAATTTTTTACAGTTGGATGGGAGCGTATGCCAGTGCTAGAGAAAACAAATGTACAGGTATTGGTGAGAACCATCTCAGGAAAAACACAGTATAATACAGGTATTAAGTGTGAAGAGGAATAAGAGAGAAGCAGGTAAAATGCTGTGGTTTGCGTGGGAGTCCCACAGCAACCATGTACCCAGTGCTGTTCACTGACTGGACCACCCATGAGAGACACTCTGGAGACAGATGTGGGGATGAGAGGTGGAAGATGCTCTTTCACCGTATGGGTGATGCTTTGAAAGGGGTTGGAGATGAGTCTTGATATTGTGACCGAGACTTATGGTTTTCTTCCCTTTTCACTTCCCTGAACAGGTGCAGTGCCATACTTACACTGGGTACTGCTGGTGTGTCACCCCGGATGGGAAGCCCATCAGTGGCTCTTCTGTGCAGAATAAAACTCCTGTATGTTCAGGTACCGTAGGGAGGGGCGGGAAGAATGAAAAGGGTTGGAGAGAGACCCGTTGGTTGGTCTCCTGCATCTTGTGGGAGAACCTTTAGAAGGTTGATGGTGGTGATGAACCTTTTTCTAGATCAGGGAGGATTCTACTCTAACATGCTTGCTCGGAAGTCAGCAAATGATAAGGCATGACAGTGTATGCCATGTGTGTGTATTTATGGATTTTGAGTTTAGATTTTTGGTTCAATGCTCTCCTTCTAAGCACTGGCTGTAATCTCATAGAGCTGTGGTGGCATATGAGTTACTAGCTTTTGTGCTGATTCTGATTGCTAGTGGCTCTTGAAGTGCTTTATTGAGTTGGATTTTGAGACCACCTGGGAGCTCAGCATCCAAGGCTGTAGTTATCTATTAGTGATGTCTATCATGGGATCAGGAGAGAAGAATGGTGGCTTCTGTGTCATATACTCACCACCCCTGAAGAATGTAATGTAGAGAAATGGAAAATTTTCGTAACAGTGGCCCTTAAATCTGACTGATCAACAGCAATGTCTGGGAAATTAAAGAGAACCCAGATATCGAGGCTTCCTCTTGTATATTCTGATCCAGGAGGCCTGGAGGGAGACCTGAGGTCTTTGTTTTTATGAAGTCTCTCAGGTGATTCTGATGATTAGACAAGTTAGCAAACTATTGCTTTATAGTGATCCATTGGGTTAGGCCATAGCAAAAATTAAGTCCTTTCTATTCCCAACTTAATAAACATAGAGAAATTGTGCTTTTTAGGTCCATTTCATGGGATTGTGGATTAGGGATTTTTACAAGCCCCACAGTGTCCACCTCCATTCAGATGGTAAAAGACTCTGAGTCGCTCCCTTAATTCACTATGTGGCTCAGCTCTCTCAAAAAAGCCTGTCTCACCCATCAGCTGATTCATATTTCTTCATATCTGTGTGCATAGGGTTTTATTGATTTACATATTTTTCATTTTAAGTGCAAAGTATAAAACATTATGCTAAAACCGATGGGAAATTCCAAAGGCTGACAGTCTTGCTATCATAGCTTTTTCTACTTGCTCTGTTACATGAAGGAAAAAGAAAGTGGAAAGGGCTATAAGAATCTACATCAGGAAACCCAAATTTACAGGTCAAAAAGGGAAGTTTACTTTATTTGTGGTTTACATGGAAACTAGAAACCTTAATTGGGGTTGGGGTAGGGAGGTACAGGAATTAGCCCTCCTTTCAAATGACCTGGAAAGTTTCATTTAAAGCAAACAAACGACTAGAAACAAGCCATGCAGGATAATATGTTTGAGTTCTCACACAACTGGTATATGGAGAAGGAGTATGACATGGATTAGGGAAATAGAGATTCTTTTCTTTTGGCGGGACTCCACAGATGCCCTTCTGTGCATGGGCTGGTTGTACCCTGCCTGTGTGAGGCTGGACCTCAGCAGAAGACAGGTGCCACAGGGTCAGGACTGGAGGAGGGGATGCACAGAGCACCCTAGTATATGCAGGGCAAATGCTTGGGCAAACATACCTGCTACCCGCTCCTGGAGGAACAGGCTGTGCTTAGAAAATTGTTTCCATGCCTTAGACTATTTTGGCCCATTCAGTACAATTGGGCCAACAATTTTCTACTTAATGCAGATGGAGAATCGCTGATTTCCTGTCCTAACCAGCAAGGGATGTCAATCATTGCCTTTGCAGTAAAAGGGAGTTTCTTTTCAGTTGGCCTTGCTGACTGAATATGGCTCCAAACATGGAACTGGTGAGAAGTTGGGGAGATGGGGGTGTAAAGGTGAGGGGCAGATATTGGAATATTCAACTAGGGAGTTATATGAGTGTGGAATTTTGTAAAAATGTGGTCAAGACTGTTTCCAGGGAACCTAGAAATCATAGTTCATCTTAACAGTGCTGGGTTATCAGTGACATTGATGTTAAACAAACCCCACTCAACATGTGTATATGTACTAACATTGTATATAATATCCTTAGATGTGTATACAATACATATATACATGACCATATGCTCATAACATCAGGTTTTGCCAACTCTTAGAAAGAAACCAACCACAATGCATTCTGAGTGGCTATGTTTTTGTTTCCCTTCTCACCCAAGGTTCAGTCACCGACAAGCCCTTGAGCCAGGGTAACTCAGGAAGGAAAGGTGAGTGGAGTTTTATGCTTTATCTAAATGTTTGCTTCCAAAGGTGGTCCAAGCAGGATTTCTTAGATGAGATAGAAGGAGCCTGGGGTGAAAGCCTAAGGTGTCCCGCAGAACATCTTCTCCATTCTTATTCCATGTTTCCTCTCTGAAGCACCCGAGGTAAGTAAGGCTCATACAGTGATGGACACCAAGCTCCCAGATTTCCCAAGGGAGGTGACTGAGTATAGAGCCCAGAGCTGGGAAGCACCTTTAGAATGTGAGCCCTAGGAATATTGGTTCCCTGGGGAGCTCGGTCAATCAACTACCAGTGTAGCCAGCATTAAACCAGAGAGGATGAGGAAGGTAGGGTGCCCAAGTCTGCCCTTGGCTCTCTTGTTGTGTAAGCACATTTGGGCATTTTTCCCCCCTCGCTGATGCTCCTTCATAATTGTCCCAGCACATCCAGATTCTCTTCACTAAGGCGAGGCTGGCTTTGTGGGCATGCGACCTGTGCAGTTGCTATCCTGAAATTCTGAATAATTCTGTCTTTGAGTCTGATGGGACAGTGAAGATGCGAGTGAGTGGAGGAGAGACACGTCATATGAGTGTCTGCTGAACCTTGTCACCTCATTAGCACAAAGCTTTTGTGAGGTGTACTATGTGGCTTCCATAGCATGCTTAAAATTTTAATTTTTCTTTATCTAGGACAATACTAAGTAGCAAATTAAAATAACACCGTGACAAGGTAAGAGAGAGAGACTATGGAATAAAGGACAAAGTTTTGTATTTTAGTGCCTTTAATGGCACTTTTCCCTGCTTTTTGAATGAAAGGCCCTGCATTTTTACTTTACACTGGGCCCCACAAGTGACGTAGCTGGCATCTGTCTGAGGGCTGTTTATTGGACAAGCCAACATGAGCCATAGGTCCCTGGAATATGCTGACCATAGTTTTTAGCATGGAAGACAGTTGGAGGCTTAAGATTCACTGCCACTGACCTCCAGGACAGCATATGTGCAGAGCTGGTAGTTGAATGGAAAGCAAGTGTGCATTTCATCTCGTGTGCAGCCTCTCCAGGACTCCCATCTCAGGCTGAGTTTGGGGCTTCCCACCTGCATCTAGGCCTTGGAAACTACATGCTCATCAGGGCCCACGTGGAGCCTTGGGCTTGCTGAGGGTCATTGTGAAGTTCACAGGCTTGTCCTGCACACACAGTTGCAGGGAGACCAAGGTAAAGCCCTGGGCCCTGCCTCCAGTGCTTATGCCATGGGATGGGAAGAAGAGGCGAAGTCACCCACTCTGAATGCAGGAGATAAGGATCTGGAGAACCTGCTGCCCCCAAATGCAGGTGCTCCAAGAAGATGTGGAAGTGGAACAGGTGATACCACCACCCACCAGAAAACAGGGACCAATGGGCCAGATGGGCTACTGCTCTTTCCCTGGGCAAAAATGAGAAAGTGGTTGGAAAGGGAAGTAAGTGCTTCTTCAGGTCCTTCCCAGGGCATGAGGAGACTACCATAAGTGTGGGTGGTTCCCTCCTAGGTGGGAAAGTGGGGAGAGAATCTACAAAGACCTGAAATCACCAATGCTGTGAGTAGTGTGTGTTTACTGGGATTGGAAAAGGAAGATGCCTTCAAGTTTTCTATTGCGTGTGTGTGTGTGTGTTGTTTTTTTTCTAGCAGAGCATTTTTAATTTTTATCTTTTAGAGACAAGATCTCACTATGTTGCCTAGGCTTGCCTCAAACTCCTGGGCTCAAGCAATTCTCCCACCTCAGCCTCCCAGGTAGCTGGGACTACAGGCATGCACTGCTTTTAGTTTTGCCTGTTGCAATGGAAATCTTCAGGAACATCACCTTTATTCCTGGGCATGAGGTCCTGGTAGTAGGAAAGAAAAATTGTCAATCATGCAAAACTGACCACCCAGATTCCCCTCCTCCAAAGGGAGCTGATTGTATGATGCTGAATAAAGTGCACACACACTAAACAACTGCCAGCCATGGGATTCTGGTTCTTAAACTGGACAAGAAGTGCTTTCCAGGGGGATGTGGCTTTGCACCCTGTGGACAACAATGACAGACAGACCCATGGTCATCCCAGGCTCTCACTGGTCCAGCTGGAAGTGGGGGGGTGAGGGTGGCTGGGGATGTCAGTTTACAGTCAACAGTGAGCACCCTTTGTTCCCTTTTACAGTCAAGCAGTGAGTACCATTTGTTCCTTTTTAGCTCTAGGGTCAGCTTCCAGAGCCAAAAGAGGGTAGAGGAGCCTGGTTCCTCCAGGGGCGATGCAGGAAATGGGGGATAGAAACTGAAGCCTTCATCTCAGAGGGATAAGCTGCTCTCAGTTCCCAGCTCTTTACTCCCTTGCCCTCGATGGGTCCCTTCCTCCAAGATGGCTCTGCAGAGGCTTCCTCTTTGGTGCAAAGGTCAGGACAAGGCTCTGGTGGGGAATGCTAGGACTCATTCTCCCCTGGAGTCTTAAATCCTATTTAGTGGCCTCTCTTTCCCTGTACTTTGAAGGATCTGATTAGGTGTTGGATCCTCTTCTCTTTGTCTGCTATGGGCAGCGCAGTGAAGAGCAGGTTCGGGCCACCTGTAGGACGCCACACCTGAAGCCACACCTGTCCAGGAAGCTGGGGTTTGAATGGGGACAGGGTGCGAGAGGGCATTAGTAATATCCTGTGTCGACTAGCCAAGGTTCCTCTTTCAGCTGCCACTTAAGAATGGAATGTGCTCTGGAAGGCAGCAGGTGGGAAGACACAAAGGCCCCTTGTCTGAGCTTGTGCCCGCACATGGCTTCTCATAGGAGGCATCTATTACCCTGAGGCCTGCTGCAAAGAGGTGCTGGGTCTGCACCCTTGTGCAGGGTGATGGATATGGCCAGAAAAGAGGTGGGGCCAGAGGTCTGGAGGTGTGAGTGGTGGGGGATGGCAGGGCAAGGACGGGACCCGGGACCCAGCCTTCTCTTTCCCTAGCCTCTTGCCTTTTTGAATATCCTCCACTGACCGGGCTGGGAGGGATCGGCTGTCCCTCCCAGGCTGGAAGGAATGAAAAGATGTATTGTGTGACCACGGAGAGTCTGGTCGCCAGCCAGGAATTAGTTCTCTGAAGGAGAGGAGGAGAAAGGCAGAGCAGAAGGAGGCTGGGGGAGGAGGCCCAGAGAGATGGCAGGAGGAAGGGAGGAGAGAGAGAGGCTGGGTGGTCACAGCCGTTTGGTCTAAGACAGGAGGCCTGAGTGGCTGTGGCTCCTGGATCCACAGGTGTGGGGCCCCAGGGAAGAAGTGGGGGAAGGAGGGGGAGACACTGTTATCTTACCCAGATGCACGTGCTCCAGGAGGGGAGGAGGGTCAAAACTTCAGACTATTTACTTAATCCCTTGGAATGTCCTTTCCTCACTCTGTTCTTTGGGCCCCTTGTGTTTAACGAACTCCTTTATGGGCACATGTGTGGTAATTAACAAATGCAGTGTAGGTCCTGGACCATGTGTTTGAGTTTCAAATATCCATTGATCTGGGGCAATCCCATCCTGGCTGCCCCCTCCCCTTCTTCTCCTTTGGTCCTGGCCCTTAAAGAGAGACGTGTGTGTGTTGTGTGTGTGGGAGAGGGGGACGGTGCACATGTGCATTCACATGTGTTTTATGGATGCTACAGAGGAATATCAGAAGAGAGGAAGAGGGCCCCAAACAGCCCCTTTAGCTCTGAAAATGCACTGCTAAAACAGTTGAAGGCTGAAGAAGTAGAGATAGAGGTAAAGTTTTGGTTTTCACTGGAGTCATCCAAAGGAAAGTAGATTGGAAGCAGAATGGTTTCAGAGATCAAGAAGTTATCCTGCAGCAGCTTTACCTGGCTGTACCAAGGCCTATGGATTTTTCTGATGTGACTCTTTTTGGGGTCTCAATGCTAATTACCATAGGTGATTTGAGGAGCTTCCAGGATAACTGAACACAGGTTCAGGGGCTGGCCCTGCCCTTCATTGCTTGTGAAGTGCAAGGAGGGAAGGAAGTTCTTAGCCTCTGGTGGGGTGAAGGGGGGCAGTGGTGAAGAGTGATTAAATGAAAGGATATGGAAAAGCACTTGTGAAATGATTTCTGGCAGTTCTCTGTGAGCTTTTGACTTCTGAGTGCCCAGAGCATCAGAGGCCATGGGGTGATGCTGTGATAAATGGCAAGTGAAAGTTTAGGGTCACCAGGAATTTTCTGCGGTTTGCATTTTTCCCATAAGAAGTCTGGGAGTTAGTTGTTTAAGGAAAGCAAGAGAAAAATAAAAATACTAATATACTCTGCTAAACTTTTCTGCATGGGCTTCTGTATTTGTCAAGCTAGTCTTGGAGAGGGGCAGAACTTCAAAAATCCAACCCAGCTTTAATTTTCAGAGTTTAAAAAGAAGATCTCCCACTGGCTGTTCCATAGTATGTGCTCCAAGTAAAGAGTGAGTCATATTTATTTCTCCAAGGTCCCTGTCTGTATCTCTATTTTTAGAGCTGGGTCTACAGGTTGTTGCCAACTTGGAGACCTTGTCACTCAAGCAATGGATGGAGCAGCTCTGAGGGGCAGGCTTAGGACAGAGGCAATGGCTGGCAAACATCCCAGACGAAGGGGACTGGGTGGCCCCCCAGCCTCAGCCCTCATAAGGTGTTAACACACCTGAAGGAGGGGTGCTTCATTGCCCTGAGCCTGGCAGAGCCGTGTTGGGCTGGCTGTCGAGGGACATTCCACATGTGAAATGTCACTCCTGCTCACATGACTTAAATCTCTTCCCGACTACCTCTTTTTTCTCTTCCCCTAGCAACCACGGGGGTATGGGAGGCTGAATCTGTAGCTGATCTCTTAGCATTGCCATCAGGTGGGCTGGGCTGGGTTTGAATGGAGATGGGCAGCTGACGACCTCCATGCTGTTGGCTTCTGCTCACATGGCTTTTCTTGGAGAAGGATTCTCTCTGATTCTGTGCCTGCTGAAACAGAACTGTGCCTGAGCAGCTCCAAGCCTGAGAGAGGCAGCTCGTTTGCTTTCTGGTTCTCCGAGCCGCCTCCACCAAGCCTGGAATGTTCATATACCAGCTTCGCAGAGGTCAGTTTCAGAAGGGGTGTGCTTGCATGCTCACACATGTACCATGTCTCCCTCCTTCCCATAGCTAACTGCTCCGCCAGCTTGGCTCCAGCTACTCAACCGCCTCCATTTTGGCCCGTATTCCAGGGTCTCTGAAGAAAAGTTTATGCATGAACAGCACTAGACTGAGAGTTTGATTTCCTGCCATATCCTCATCTCCAAGGATTGGAGAGAGAATAAGATTTAGGGATCTGGAAAAAGCCTCTTAGACATAAATTCATTTGAATCCCTGGTGTTATTAGTAACCATTGATATTTTACGCTTGGTGCTTTTACTCAGCAAATATTTATGGAGAACTTACTAAATGTCAGGCTTGTTATCGTCACTAAGGACCCAGGGATGAGTATAACAGTACGAGTCCAGGCCTCACCTCCTGGAGCTCACATTCTAATTGTTCTTAGCCTTTTATGATGGAGGTTATTCATCTTCAGGTGGAGGAAAACCTCCAGCGGAGCAGCAGGCTTCTGTAAGCTCTGGGAAGTTGCCACCTCTGCAGGGGAGGGAAGGCAGGTGGCCCCTCCAAACAACCCTGTGTGGTAGCTCCTGTAGCCAGAGCCTCTAAGGAAAGCCCCTTGGAGCGGGTGGCCTGAGCTGAGCAAAGCCCTCTGCCAGGTTCCTGAGCCCTCTGACTAGTGCCTTTGTGGGGCCACTGAAGTCCAGGTGAGAGGGCTCAGAGCTTGTCAGGCCAATGAGAGTATGTTCATTTGCTCCCTGCTCCCGGCCTAAGTTCCAGTGTGGCACAGCAGCTTGCAGAGAGGTAGGGATATGGGCACATAGGTGGACAGGCCTTGGGCCTGCTTCTGACCCCTGGTCTCCAGCTCAGAGGGCCACAGAACTCGTGTGGTAAAGGCCGAGGAACTGTCACTCTCAGGTTCCATTGCAGTGATCCTGTGCTTGCAGAAAGAAAGATGTGAGATTCAAGGGCTGATTATTCTCAAGTTTCTTCGGAAAGGCAATGGAACTAGAATAGCTGAAACAATTTTGAAAAAGAAAACTAAAGTGGGAGGAACCATTTTATCTGATTTTAAGATGAATAAAGCTAGAGTTCTAGAGATAGTGTGGTATTTGTGGAGTAACAGATGCATGAATCAATGGAACAGAATAGAGGACCCAGAAACAGATCCACAAACAAATGGTGCTCTAGCAATTGGACATCCACAGACCAAACAAATAAAATTAACAAATCGACCCCAAAGCCTCAACCTAAACCTCAGACCTGATATGAAAATGAATTCAAAATGGATCGTAGACTTAAATGTAAAATGTGAAGCTATTAAAACTTTTAGAAGAAAACAAGAGAAAATCTTCACCACCAAAAACATAATCTAGAAGATAATATATATAAGTTGAACTTTAAAATTTGCTCTGCAAAAAGTGCTGTTAGAGAATTAAGAAAAAACTACAGCCTGAGAAAAAATATTTGCAAACCGTCTATCCAACATAGGACTCATATCTAGAGAATATAAACAACTCTTAAAGCTTAGCAGCTAAAAAACAGTTTAATTAGAAAATGGTGGCCTGGCATGGTGGCTCACACCTGTAATCCCATCACTTCGGGAGGCTAAGGTGGATGAACCACTTGAGGCCAGGGGTTCAAGACCAGCCTACCCAACATGGTGAAACCCTATCTCTACTAAAAAAAAAAAAAAAAATACAAAAATTAGCCAGGCATGGTGGCACGTGCCTGTAATCCCAGCTACTCAGGAGGCCGCGAGGCAGGAGAATCACTTGAACCCAGGAGGTGGAGGTTGCAGTGAGCCGAGATCGCGCCACTGCACTCCAGCCTGGATGACAGAGCGAGACTCCATCTCAAACAAACAAACAAACAAACAAACAAAAACAAAAAATTAGCCAGGCATGGTGATGTGCACCTGTAATCCCAGCTACTCGGAAGGCTGAGGCAGAAGAATTACTTGAACCCAGGAGGTGGAGGTTGCAGCAAGCGAGATCATCACTCCAGCCTTGGTGATGGAGTGAGACCCTGTCTCAAAAAAAGAAAAAAAAAAAAGAAAAGAAAGAAATTGGCCAAATGCACAAATAGACATTTCACCAATTTCACCAAGGCAGACAAACAGAGGGCAAATATGCACACAAGAAGAGGCTCAGCATCATTAGCCACAGGAAATGCAAAATAAGTCCATGGCAGGATGTCACTACATATCTATTAGGAGAGCTAAAAGAAAAAGTAGTGTCAACACCAAATGATAGTGAGGCTGCCGAGAAACTGGACCTCTCATACATCGCTGGCAAGAATAACATGGTACAGACACACTGGAAAAATACTTTGGAAGTTTCTGAAAAACAACTAAACATACATATACCATATAATCCAGCAGTTGCACTCCTGAGCATTTATTCCAGAGAAATGAAAATTTATGGCCACACACACAAAAAACCTGTACACGAACAAGAAGCAGCTTTATCTGTAATAGCTGAAAGTAGAAAAAAAACCCCAAATGTCCTTCAGTGGATGAAACAAACTGTGGCACAGTAGTACTGCCCTACCCACGGCCAACCATGGTCTGAAAATATTCAATGGAAAATTTCAGAAATAAACAATTTGTAAGTTTTAAGTTGTGAGCCATTCTGAGTAGTGTGATGCAATCTCACACTGTCCTGCTCCCTCCCATCTGGGATGTGAATCATGACTTTGTCCAGCATACCCATGCTGTGTACCCTCCCTGTGACTTGGGGCCAGCTCTGTTATCAAGTGGATAGATTGCAAAATGAAGAAGGATGAATACAGTACAATCAGATATTCTGAGAGATAGACAATATTCATATAACTTTTATAAAAGTACATTGTTATAATTATTCTATTTTATTATTAGTTATTATTGTTCATCTATACCGTGCCTAATTTATAAATAAACCTTTATCATAGGTATGTATGGGGAAAAAACAGGATGTATAGGGTTCGGTTCTATCCGCGGTTGAAGGCATCCACTGGGGGTCTTGGAAGGTATCTGCTGTGAGTAAGGTGGGATCCCCTATCCATCTATACCCTGGAAAAATACTCAGCAATAAAAAGGAATGAATTGTTGATATATGCAACCACAACTTGAGTGGATCTCAAGGGCATTATGCAACATGAAAAGAGCCCATTTCAAAAGGTTGTATATTGCATGATTCCATTTATATAACAGTCTAGAAATGACAGCATTATAGAGATGGAGAACAGATTAGTGGTTGCCAGGTGTGAGGAATGGGGTGGAGGAGGGAAAGTGTGACAGTAAAAGTGGCACAAGGGAGATCTTTGTGCTGATGGAATAGTTCTAGGCTGATGGTGGTGGTGGTTACCTGAGTCTACACGTGGATAAAATTGCAGAGAACGATACACACAAATGAGTGCATTTAAAACTGGTAGAATCTGAATAAGGTCCATGGATTATATGAATATCAGTGTCCCGATTTTGATTTTGTACTAATTATGCCACCCAGATAATTAAAGAGCTTACCCATATCATTATGCTAACTATAAAGCCGTTACCATTGGGGGAAACTGGGTGAGGGGTACACAGGACCTCTCTGTATTATCTTTGCAACTTCCTGTGAATCGATAATCATTTCAAAATAAAAAGTTAAAAAAACATTAGCCGAGTCTTCTGTGTGAACCCAGCCCTGACCAGGCTCCTCTGCTGCCGGTGCTTCCTCTTCCTCTTCTGTCCCCAGTTTGCCTTTTCCCCAGCCTTCTGTTTTTGCTCTTCTTCAGCTCAAGGATGTGAGAACTGCCTGCAAAAAGGCAGCTTTCAGCTTGTTTTCACTTCTTTTGGGAGGGAACATGCAGGTAGGTATACGGAATATAAAACACTGACCTCCTGCTTTGGAAAGAACCTGACATGCCCGACCACTTCTGCTCCTACAGATCAGAATCAGGACAGTTCACCATCCATTTCTGAGCCTCGCTGGTCATGGCGCATGCATCTCAGGAAATGTTGAGGTGGCCTAGCATTCCATCCTCCTCTGGGTCTGATTCAGGGCAGGCTCTTAAGGGACTTTTGCAAACAGACACTGTTGTCTCCTTACGATGCCCAGAATGAGTTGTCTCCACTTCCACATTGAGCCTCAGAATCACATGTGGAGGGGGATGGTGGCTCTGGCATAAATGTGGTCCCTTCAAAGCAAGAACCTTCGAGCACTTCTACCAGGCTGAAGTTTATCTCCATGTCTTTTTCAAAGATGGACAATGGCAGCCTGAAAGAATATGAGGGAGGGTCACCAGTGATGGACATGGTTTGGGGAGAGCCCAAGAATTGAAGGGGACTTGGGATTGTTGACAGACCTTCCACATCTCAGAATGGGGGAAGTGGTTTCTTTTTTCCTCATTCTCCAAGGCTTCTCAGTCTCAGAGACCCCAAGAGATGCCATTAATACAGATTCCTCCTCTGGCTCCTTTGAGACATTTGCTTTTGAAGGACCTGGAAGAGAAAGCTCTTTGTATGTGGCCAGAATAAACTCATTGTACACCCAAACAATTAACTCCTCAATGGACTTGCCAGCCCCTTGAAAGGCCTGGCCCTGCGTCCCTGGACCTCTTGGGCTCTATTCAGTCCCTTAAGCACACCAATGTTTTTGGGTTTTTGTTTTGTTTTGTTTGTTATTCTGAAAAGTCTTTCCCTGAGAATAGTCTGAGCGGATCAACATTGTCCTCAGCCTGGCATTTATCTCTCCTCGCCAGCGAATGTCAATCAGGAATCAAAAAGCCAAACAGAGGAGGCTTTGAACGGTGTCATCGGGGGTCGAAGTGACTTCCAGCTGTCTGTGCGTGGGCCAGGCCTTCTCGCAGGGCAAGGAATTGTGCTGTCACACAAACCCACTGTCTGTATAGGCTCACAGAGCCCATGCGGGGGCTGCAACTTTCTGGGGCTGCACCTGCAAGGACAAGGCGTGACTGGGGGTTGGGGAATCTCCGGAGGCCAAATGCCAGGGCTCTGGGACCAGGCAGTTTCCAAAGCTGCTTGCTGCCTCTGGGACCTTGATCAAATCACTTACTTGCATTGTTATTCAATTCTCTTTTTATCTGCCTGGTTTCTCCCTCCGCCCTGGCTGGTGGTGAGAATAGATGAGGAAAGCTACCTGCCAGGAACTGAGTGTTGCAAAGTGTGGTAATACTATTATTACCGTTGCTCTTGACATCCTCCTTGAGAATTCTTTCAGTTTGCCTTATTTGTTGTTTGTTTTCATGTTTCCAAATTTGCCTTTTTTCTCCCTCCCTGTAAGAAAAAGGATAATCTTTGAATTGGCTTTTTTTTTTTCAGTGTTTATCCTCTTCCTTTTAATATGGAAGATTATTATAGTATTAAAGAGAAATACTCTCTGAGGTCCAAAAGAATCACGAAGAATATACACCAAACATCATCACATGCATATACAGATTCACATACATTTTTCTTTAAAACAGTGGAAGAGTCTTCCCCCAAATTAAGGACCACTCAAATAATCTAGCTGCTGCTGCCTCATGATTTATTTGTGATGACTTGGGCACACCTCCCTTTTTGTTTTAACAGCTTTATTGAAGTATAGTTTACATACCGTAAAATTCACTCATTGTAAATATACAACCCAATGAATTTAATAAATTCATAGTGTTGTACAATTGTCACCAGAGAACATCTCCATCACCCCAAAAAGCAACCTTGAACCCATTCACAGGTATTTTCTACTCCTACCTGTAGCTCTAGGCACCCCCAGATCTGTTTTCTGTGTCTATAGATGTAGCCTTACTAGACATTTCATATAGATGGAATCATACAACATGTGGTATTTACATCTGGATTTTTATACTTAGCATAATGTCTTTGAGATTCTTCATCTACATTGTCACATGTATTAGTAATTCATTCCTTTTAATTGCTGAATAGTATGCTATCATATGGATATATCACAATTTATTCACCAGTGGACAGACATTTGGATTGTTTTCAGTTTGAAGCTTTAATGAATAATGCTGCAGTGAATATTTCTATACATGTCTTTGTGTGGGCATGTTTTTATTCTCCTAGATGGATTCTAGGAGTGGAATTTTGGGGTTAAAAGTTGATGTTTAGCTTTTTAAAGAGACTGTCAAACTCCTTTCCAAAGTGGATGCCCAGTTGTACATTCTCACCAGCAATGAACAAGGGTTCCATTTCCTCCACATCCTTACCAACACTTAATATTGTCTATCTTTTTATTTTAGCCATTCTAGTGGCTGTTTAGAAGTATCTTGTTGTGGTTTTAATTTGTACCTTCCTAATGATTAACAATGTTGGATATCTTTTCATGTATTTATTAGCCATCTGTATCTCTTCTTTGGTGAAATGTCTGTCAAAATATGTTGTCCATATTTAAATAAGGTTGCTTGTTATTGAGTTGTAAGGTTTACCTTATTTTCAATTTAAAAACTTTGATAGGATTTTAATTTTGTAAACCCAATTTTAAAAGTAAGCAGTTGAATAAGATGGTTTGCACTCATGGAATTATAGATGCCCTTTAGTGGGCCTTTAAAGTGTTTTACACCTACACAAAAAAGTGTCCCGAGATTTTGTAGGCAGGTATCCTTCAATTTTAGAAGAGGATATTGCTATCCAGAGAAGTAAAAGGAGGGGCTCAACTTATCCAGAGTAAACTTATTACATGTGAAGGGGGATTTGGAGTGTGACTCCCCTTAAGACTGGGAGGCAGGAGCACATATAGAAACCTTGTTCTCTCCCCAGTGCCCAGTGTGGGGCCTGGTGTTGCTCCAGGGCTTGCCTGGAAGCAGAACTGATGTAGACCTTGGACCTAGGCCTTGGACTTGTGTTTGGTAGAAGAGGTGCTCTTATTTGCTGGGTCAGAAGCCAGGAGCCCAGGTGCCCGGAGATGATGGTTAGAGGGTGCTGTTCGCTTTGGCTTGGCTTCCCAGCCTTTGAGCATGCTGGATGTCACAGGTGATTCCTGGCAGCAGGGCATCTTGTCTTTTCTCACTTCATAAAGATTTCCATTTAGGACCTCCCCGTGGCAGAGCAGCTGTATCTCTTCACCCTCAGTGACCCTACCCTGCAGGAAGATTCCTTCCCTGCAAGTGGCTTTATGCCTCATGGGCTTCTCTGACTACATCTGGGAAATCTGTGGAGGTCCTTGACCTGCAAAAGGGCAAAGCTTCCCCAAAAAACCTTTTTGCCCTCCTTGAGTGCAGACCTTCTTTGCTGATGGCTGGGCCCGATGGGCAGTCCAAGATTTTCATCTGGATGATGGGAGAAATAAACAGAATGTTTTCAGTTGTCTTGCTCCAGAGAAGAGATACAGTTCTTGTAATATGGGAGGATTTTCATACCTACATTGAATATTAAAATATTACATAAGCCATATGCACTTGAGTTCTCATTATCATCCCTCCTGGAATGTTTGATTTTTCACTTTCCCTTTGTTAGCCTGTAAGACTCCTAAAATGAAGCCACCCTGTGTGGAAGGGCTGAGCACACTGTGCTGGACTATTTAGACTGTGAACTCTGTATCTGGCAGGCACAACCAAATGTGCATTGCAGCTGCCAAAAGACTCAATTCAGTGGCTCATTGAATTCAATGGAAAGAGGTGTTAATAGAGTCAGGGGAAGTGATGCTATTAAAAAAATGACATTGTGTGGCTCTGTTCTGTGTTTATTCTCCCTCAAAGACTTCCAGATCAAACTCACACAGTTTGGCATCAAAAGATGCCTGTTTTGGACTCCAGTTTGAGGCAAATAGTATATCCAGCATAGATACTCTTCTCTTCCTGCTACATCTCATTTCTTGGGATGATTGTCAGATAATTCAGGATCACTTTGGCTTCTGCAAGAGTTGGGTCTTGGTGTCAGTACATGAGAATAATATCAGGGTCAGGTGTCACCCGACTGTCAGCTCAGCTGCTGGCCTCAGCCTCTAACAAGGGTTAGAGTCTCCATAGCTCTTGAATCTTAAGCTCCCAAGGGTGAGATGTTGATGCAAAAAGGAGATCAGGACTCTGTATTCTCTCTCCCTCCCCCAATAAGATGCACGAAAGTCGGCCAAAGGTACTGAGAGCTCCAAATGGTAGAGGGTTGTTATTATTGATGATCTGACTGGCGTCACAGAGACTATCTGAGAACTTGCAATCTGCATAAATAGTTAATGCTCAGAGAATATAGTGTTCCATCCTAAAAGACCTCTAAGGGGTCTTGAGAAGAGAGGGATGGTGTAATCATCAAACCGCCTGAGACAACAGTGCTCTCCTTCCCTCCCCCCGTGGAGAGAAATCTCTTAAACTATATAACCTTAAGAGGGACAAAGATACCCTCTCCAAGCCTTCTCTAAGGGGGTAAAATTATTTCTTAGGGGATGAAAAACACTCATTTTACATATGAAGCACAAATATATATACTGTTTCTTTGCATTATTAAAATTTTATTAGGGAGATGATTAGGAAAAAATTACCTAAAAATGCTCCTTAGATGAGTGATAATGGAAAAAAGGTTGAGAAATACTGCTATAAGCTAAGGTTTTTGGGGCCCTGATGAAAGAACTCAGAGTCCTGGAAGGTAAATAAAGTCTGCACTAACTCCTGACCTGCAGAGGTTCTTGCTGTGCAGAGAGGACTGCCAACACTATTAGAATGATAAGCATTAGGACTTTGTTACTGGGAGCTCCCTGCTCCAATCATCTATGTTAGAAATTTCAAAGCAAGTCTAGGGTGATTTCTGCAAAGTCCCATGTCCTCTCCCATTTTGCTTGCCCTCCCTCTTATTGGGAATTGGGGTGTTTGCTATTTCACAGTTAGAAGCATTCTAATGATTCCTGATTCTCTTCAGTTCCGTGTGCTGGAGAGAGAATGGTTCTTCCTGCCTTCTTATCTGTTTTAGGTGAAAGTGGAGAAACAGTGAGGAGATTGGAAGGGAATGGCACACAGGTCTCTTGTTTTCCTTGAGCTCTTTAATCAGGGCCACTGAGCTGGTAGCTTTAGGGCAGGAAAGGAGCTGGGGACACCATAATTTGATGCCATAAGGATTGCCAACCTTATGCTAACATGCCTGGCCATAACTCAGGGCTGAGGGGGAGATACTGCCTCCCAGTTTTCCTGCGGGAACAAGGGCCAGCAGAGTCATACTGGTATCCTCAGATTTGTGAGAAACGGTCCCCCAAAGCCACGAAGCTTTAACTCCTTTCGTCCATGCCTTGGGATGGTGAACACACACCTGGATTTGTTTTGTTGTTTTGTCTCTCTATGGTTCTCTTTTCCTTCTTGCCCTTTTCTTCTTTTGTTTCTTTTTCTTTGTTCTCTTCACTGGGACTTGGCCGGGCCTTGTACAAACCCCAACCATTCAACAGTGCTGGAGAGTAGATAGTATTTACCTCAATAATGGTAGTCTCCTTTCGATTCTTTTTAACCCTCAATTCAGATGACGGGTCTAAGCCGACACCCACGATGGAGACCCAGCCGGTGTTCGATGGAGATGGTAAGATCTTGCATTACTTCTGATGTTCATTCTCCCACTCATTTTCAGGTTTGGGAAAAGTCTTAACGTTGGATGTTTGTTTAAGTTTTATTATTATTATTTTCTTTTTTAATTTCAATTTTTCCCAGTGTAAGCTGGGTTGTTTTAACCTTTTTAAAAAATGCAGATCCTCCCAGGAATTGGTACACTCTCCACTTCTGGAAGGGCCCTCTGTTCTCTCAGGCTTCCTGCCTGTCTCCTGGTGTCCAACAATAACACAGCCTGGACAGACCCTTGGAGCTGCCAAGACCCAGGAATCACAGCTGAGAAAGATAGTCAGGCCGGCAGTGTCCCTTCAGTAAATTAATTGGCACTTGCAAGTGTCCACTCTGTGCCTGGCACTGTGTGAGCCCCTCTGGGGGATGAAAAGGAGGTTTGGAGATGTAAACCTTTGCTCTCAAGACAGCTGCAACTCTTAGAGTGCTTTAAATTACGGGGTCTCCGTTCTTATTGTCATAGACATTTATGGAAGAAAGAGATCACCATGGTCTGGGAAAAGCTTTTGTGAAGAGCCAGGACTTGAGCTGGATCTTGAAAGTGGTGGGGAGGAGTCTGAGTGTTCCAGGCAGGGTGCTGGCATGGACAAGAGGGGAATGAGGTAGGGATGGGATACAGTGAGGAAAGTTGCAGGAAGGAGATTGGCCAGTGGGACTGGTTTGTGTAGGTTGTAGGGACGTTGAGAGTTGAGGCAGGACATTTTGGAGAGGAGAAATTCTAGGTCAAGAGAAATTGTGGCTGGTGGCAAAAGAGAGGCTGGAAGTCTCTGGAGGCATAGAGAGAGGATAGGAGTGCGGGGTGCAGGAGGTTCAAGTTGGAGGTGCTCAGGGCCTGTACTCTAAAGTTTACTGTACTGAGTACTCCATATTCCCTTGATGAGGAACTGGAAGTTTGGCAGAGTGAAGTCTCTAAAGTATGACAATAAGGTTGGGATTTTAGTGCAATATGTAGCAAACTTTGAGCAGCTCCTAGCTAAGCGTATCCAGCCCTGGATCATGAGACTGGGCAGAGTGACAGAAGAATAAAAAGAAATCATGCCACGGGTTAACACTGTGGCTATGGATGTCCCTAGCACAAGCTTAGCTCTGAGGAGGATTGAAATGTGCAATATCCTTTGCAATCAGCTCACTTATGGGAAGTTTTGTATGTTCATGTCTAAAAGTTTAGATGTAGATGTCTCTGTGATCCACAAAGGTCCTGGATCATTGACAAGTCTGGGACCCTGGGGGGTCAGGTGAGGGATGGAGACTGTCTCATCTTGGGAGACCTCCCCAATACCCTCATTGAAGGTCACTCCACAGTATGCTCAGGTCACTTAGGATTCCCATCTGTCCACTGGGTGACCAAATCCTGGAGAGGCTGGAGGCACCCTGGCACTCTCTTGATGGAGGAATTCAGCCTCTGCGCATGAGAAGCCATTAGAAAGGGGATTGAAGCACACATGAGACGCACTCCTTTCTTTCCCACCTGGAGCAATCTCGGCTCAGCCGTTTCCCCTAGAATGGTCTCTGTGGTTTGTTTGGCGTTCGTTTGTTGATTTATCCCCTTTAAATCTTCTCCCAGGGAAGCAGCTGAGAGGGACTTGGCTTGGCCCATGTTCCTTACCTCCTGGGATAATATTTTTATTCCTGGATGGAGTGCTCAGTGCCTCTGCATTCTGACCACTCTGCTTCCCAGCACAGGATGCCCTGATCGGCTCTTATGAGCTGTTGGGGAGAGAAGCTTCCGTTGTGAGGAAGGGAGGGGAACTGGGAGGAGTGGATGTGGGAGAGAGCTGAAGCCTCAATGCCTCAGACTTTGAAAAATGACTATTAAGAAGTCTGAGGTTACACTTCCACTCACATAGTCTCTTTGCCCAGACTTTTTCTCTCTCCTTTTCCTCACCCCTAGAAATCACAGCCCCAACTCTATGGATTAAACACTTGGTGATCAAGGACTCCAAACTGAACAACACCAACATAAGAAATTCAGGTAAATAACCTTCCTTGGATTATATATGTACCCAGTCCATCCTTCCTTGCCCCGTGGTTCTGTGACTACTTATTGTGTGGGTTTGGAAAAATCATTTAATCTGTCTGGTTGTCAATTTCTATAGCTATAAAATAAAGAGATTGGATAAGTTAATCCCTTCCAACTTTAATTTTCTTCAATTATCATCTCAGAGATCATCTTTCTTAGGTCGTTGATCCTCTTAACAAATTTCTTTGACTGTATATTATAATATTTTGGTTAACTTTCCATATGCCATGCAGAAGAATTTGAAAGAATGACTGGACATAAAGAAGTTGGACTTCAAGCCTGGAGGGAGTCGATTCTGTGTGTTTTGAAGGCTCTAAATAGGTGCTTACAGTCATGTCTTCTCTGGTCTGATCTTTTGGTAGGGGGTCTTGTGAGTGGTCAAGTTTGAGCACTGGCTGAACCCTCTGTAGAAAGTGATAATTTTTGAGGGGTGATCATATTTGTAGGATTTTTTTGTAGACTCTATTTAATAACAATAAAGACCAGAGTCAGTAAAGTCTATTTACTATCAATAAAGACTGAATGTTCATCAACAGGAAAATGTGTTCACAAGCGAAATCTGTATCTCTATCAAGGAGGATCATCTTTTCAACCGAAGACTTCATTATGCGAAATACCACTCTGCATAATTTATGCCTGGTTGTTGAATTTAGCCCTATCTTCTTTTCCTTATAGGTGGCAAGACTATGAACAAAAGATATATGACTTTGAACCAGCAGGCAGAATTTTACATGACAATCAATTAATGAGTGTCCTGTCATTGGTCCCCTTTAAGTTGACCTGTTCACCAGCTCTGTCCTAATGGTGGCGATGTGGCATTAGAATGCAAGGAATTATATAGACCAGGAGGTGAATTCACACGCCATCAGTTGAGTTCCTCTGTGACTTGGGCTGGTCATTGCCTTTTCATGTGTCTGTTCACTGATAAAAGTTGGAGATATGGGATGGTGGAGTGAAAGGAGACTGTGAACCCCCTTGGGTCAGTCTTTGACAGAATAGTGCAGTGGTTAAAGCACAGGCTTTGGAATTAGTGAAACCTGGGTTCACATTGTAGCTCCAACACTTAGTGACCCCAGTCAAGTCACATAATTCCTTTGAGCCTCAATTCTCATTCACAAAATGGGAATCACAATCTCTCCCTCAAAGGACTATGGTTAAAAGTTAACTAAGATAATGTCTATATGGCACTCAACTGATGCCTGGCTAACTGATAAATTGTAAGTACATATATTTATTATTATCATTATTATTGGTATGAATAACGGGAATAGTAATGATGGTGCTTATTTTGAAAATTCTTCAATCAGAAAGAATTTATGATTGTCACCTTAAGCAAAGGCATCTATTAGGCTTCTTCTTAGGACCCCCTCTATTCCCCTTTCCCTGTTAGGCAAATATAAATCAAATAGAAGTGGTTTTGGTGCCTGTAGTACCTGGTGCCGGAAGTAACATTTGCAACTGGTCTCCTAGTCCCTGAGGCCCTGGAAGGTCTGCAAGACCCCCATGAGTTAATTCTCATTCTGTGACCAAGTGGAAGATACGAAGGTGAGCTCTGAATTATAACATACAGCACTTTTTTGGCTGAAACACTCACTTGGCCCTTAACAATTGTTTCCTTGAATTTCTTTTTCACTTACCCATGCATTTGATTGCTTTGGGGAACGATGGAGGAGAAAAGATCATCATCATCATCATCAAAATTAGAATAGCACTGTCATAATAGCTACTTTGTTATCAGGTCCTGTGGAACTTTACATTTGTGTCATCTCACTTGAGCTTCCCCATAACCCTATGAGATAGCTATTGTTCTTGTCTCCATCTTGCAGATGAAGAGTCAGAGGCTGAGACAGAGGAAGTAACTTGTCCTGAGTCATAGCTAGGGAGTGGTTGGGCTGGAGAAAACTAGTTATCCTTGGGAATAGAATGCCTGTCTTCTTGGGCTGTATTCTCTGCATGTAGTAAAGTGGTGAGGTCAAAGTCAGTTGATAATCTTTGCTTCCGCTGAAGTTCTTCTGCTTTCATTCCTACTCTCCAATTAGATGAGAATAGGGTCATGTTGAGAAATGGATTCTGGGCAGGTCCATCCACTTTCCTTTTGTTGGGGTGGCCTGGCCACGTTTATTTTTCTCTGGCTGACCCCAGTTATATCTGTAAGGTTCGTGTATATGACAGGATAGTTGGGAGAGACCTAACAGTTCTCTGGGAGAAACTGAGACCAGGGCTAACTGTTAGAGATTGATAACTTAGGAATCTCCTACTCAACTGAGACTTTTTCCATCTTGATCAACTGGTAATATTGACTGAATGCCTATCAATCTCTTTGATATAATTATGTATAAAATATATGGTGCCACAAAGGCCTGTAACAGGGGTTGTCAAATGGTCTCTTGCCTTCTTTTGAAAATAAAGTTGGGTTGGATCACAGCCACAGCCATATATTTGTGTAGTGTCTGTGACCATTTTCATCTAAATAGTAGAGTGGAATAGTTGTGACAGACCCTGTATGGCCTGCAAAGCCTAAAATATTTATTATCTGACCCTTTACAGAAAAGCTTTCTGGCTTCTGGCATATATGATTGAAATAGAAGCATTTGGATGGGAGTGTGTGTATGGGGATGTCTTACTTAAGTTTTCTGGCCCCTCTCATAGTCCAGGCAGGAGGATGCTCCCTGACATGCCCAGGTAAGCCTGCATCAGCACAGGAGCTCTGAGGCAGCTCACAAGGCTCTTCACCATCTCACACATACCTTTTCCAAGCTTTAATGTCCGGTTCTGGTGCATGCTCCCACAAACGGGTTGCCAAAAAAGCATCTTGATGTTTGGCTTTCTTAGGTAGTGGATAGGGAGTCTTTTGCATGTAGCGGAGATAAACCATGTAATGGCAAAAGCATGGGCTTTGGTGTCAGACAAACCTATAACCTGGTTTCCAATGCTAGCTTCCTACTGAGAGGTTTGGTGAGCTTGGGAAAGTTAATTAACTTCCCTGAGTCTTGATTTCCTTATATGTAAAACAAAGTTTTAGTGCCTTGCAGGATTTCTTTGTGAGGACTCAAGAGCATCTGTGTAATGCCTGGCACATAGTAGGTATACCATAAATGATTTTTTAAACCCAACAAAACACTGGTGACTCTTGGTGGAATATCTTTATGTCTTTTGCTAGCCACTTGTCACATGTTATCATATTTGGTTTAATGAGAAGTCAGATATACCTTAATGATAACTTATGTCTGGATATTTGGCTCTGGTAGGGACTGGAGCCTTTTGGCCAAACACCTGAGACAGTTTTTCATTAGAGTTTGATGGATGATCCTGGGTTCAGGTGTGCTTCAGCCTGCATCCCCGGGGAGGTTGCCATGGGACTCCGTGAAGCCCATCGGGGTGAGAGCTCTTCTTCTCAGCTGTCTCTCAGAGGCAAAAAGGCTATCCCAGTTTCTTTTACACCCCACACATCCTTTTTTCACACTCAGACCCTGTGACGCCAGGTTTGTTTTCTGGCCTGGGGATTGTTGATGTTGGAAAGGTTCCACTGGGCAGCTGAAGTTTTGCAATAACATGACACATATGCCTACAGACTCTCCTAGTCTCCCTCTCTGCTCCTGGAAGTTTTGGCCCTTGTTTTTAAGGCTTTGTCATGTGTTCACTATAGTCAGTGTCGCCTTTTGAGTAATTGGCAGGTTCAGCATTGACAGATTTGCTTCTTTGCTCTTCTCTTCAGTTCTCGCCTCCATTGAACCTCTCCTCCATTGCATCTCCAGTGCACCAGGAATTCCTTTTGCATTCAGGAAGACAATGTACCTGGCCAGCTAATACGCTAGAACTTGAGAACAGCATCTTCCCATAGATGAGTGTTGGATGGAGCCTCTGTTCTGCTTTTATAAGGAAATATGAACTCTTGCTAAGTTTTTTTTTTTTTTAAATCAGGGGTTGGCTACCAAGGCATTTCTTAATATACCTAGTGTTTAAAATATTTTTTAACCATCTATATGTTACAGAAGATAAAGATATGAAATAAGTGACAAGAATTAGGTTTCATCTAATTCTTCACCTCATCTTCTCATGTTTCTAATTTGACTATGTGCAGGCACTTTCCTATGGCTCTGATTTACATCTTTGTTTCTATATGACGAACTTCCACCCTTTCTCTTCTGGGCAAGTATAATCTCTCAGGAAATATCTTCATGCACTTCTCTGTGCAGCAAAGTAATGCTCCCAAGGCCCACCACTCATTTCCTTCTGCCCTGGGGGCTTGACTCTGTGGCCTCAAGTGGAGTAGAGAGGTGTGACTTCCCTCTTTGTTTTGTCATCTCTTTCTTTCCTTTGTCCCTGTTTTTTTCCAGTTAACTTCTTCCATGATCTGATCAAGGGCCTCAAGGAGGCCCTAGACCCTGGCCCTGTGAGTTAAATCTGAAAGGGCCATGCCTTTCCTCCCTTGCCTCTTAGACCCACAGCGCTCCCTTCTCTACATCATTGAATGGAGCAGCTCATGGTGACTCTGCTCCCTGGAGATACAGCCATCAGCACAGACATAAGGTGGAAATGCATTTCTTTTAAGTTTTACCATGAAAGTGACACCCTGGCCTCCTCGTGCATGACTGTGACTGTGTTTTCTCATGTCACCTTACCTGTCACAGGTAAGCTGTTCACAGTATCAGAGTGCTGCTCTTCTAGGCCTGCTTCAGGCCATTTGGCCACGTCTTGGATTGCTTCTTCCTCACCCAGGAAGTTCCTGCTGGGATAGCTGCTATGACTGGGACTTGGGGTCACTGAGGCAACTGCACCTCCTGGCTGGATTCCCCACCCCCCAAGCCAGCACTCTTGGCCCGCCTAGAAACCACCGGCTGATGTAATGACTTGAGGCCTGGAAAAATAAACAGCTCGCAGGGAAACCAGCGGTAGCCGTCGTAAGCAAATACCCCATGGCCACCTGGAATCTCGCACATGACGTGATTGGGAGGAAGAATGAGTAATCCACTAACGTTAGCAGCCGAGGATGGGTCTGGGCTTGTGTGCATTTAAAATATCTATATAAAAATACACCCTGGATATTTATTTCCATAACTGGCCTTCTGGATGTCTGCCCATCTCTCTGATGCAGGTGCCTTGGTCAATCATGGCCAGTAGAATTGAGCTGGGGATGGGGGATGGGTGGTCATCCCTATGGCTTTCTCCATGGCAACAAAGGCCTTTTTCTTTCTTAAAATTTCCCTTTGCGGAGAGAAGCAATAAACACACTTGGAGGCCCCATGAAGCCTAGCCGCACAGTCCATTTTTACCTTGTTTTAAAATTAGCTTTCCTGGTCGCCTTGCTCCTTTGCCCCATGTTGTCTGCTTGGAACACAAAGGTGTGGGAGGGTGGAGGGATGTGCTGCAGGACACAGCACTGGGATGACGTGCTGCACCAGCAAGGGTTCTGTTTCTGTTTCTGGAGGTGAGTGTGTCTGCTTTTTAATGTTAGATAGCAAAACTACGTGCCCTGGTATTTTCCTTTTGGCCTCTGCTGCTAAGACACTGAAATTGAAGATCTTGCCCAGGTATTGTCATTGGCTCATTCCAATTTTCTGGAAGTCAACTACAGTCTCTGCTTAGATCTGAGCATCCTTGTTCTGTGTTTATTTGTAAAGTGGCTTTGGAAGTAGACGGGGTCTACATCTCATAAACACACTCACACAGGCAACACTCATGTTTTGGGGAGTAAAGAGTGAAGTTGTGATACTTTATTTTGATAAATTTAAATAGCTTTTCCATCTTCCACCTTTGTCTGTGCCTTCTCCTCCCTTTCTGTCTAAATTTTTATTTGCTAGAACTTGCTCTTAAAAGTACGGAGACTGTCAGTTTAAGGCCAATGAAAGTACAGAGACTGTCAGGTTAAAGCCAATGAAGTTACTGAGAAAAACTAGAAAAAAGGCAGCTTGCTATTTCTCAGTACTTGTCATTGCAAAGATACTGTGAAGTATTTCATATTCTTTTTGGTGGAAGGGTCATATCTGCTCACTTAATGCCATGAGTCAATAGAGATGGGAACTTTTCTAAAATTTGAGCGGGTGCGAGTCAGTGATGCCTTGGGGGAAAAGTTAAAAAGAAAAATGCCTCCATGCTATATTGGGACAATCCATCCTGGAAGAAATATCCTCTGTAGAATTTCGATCTTGTTCTTCCCTGCCCTGTAGGAACTCAGTCTCTGCGTGGGAAGGAAGCGGTCACCACTTCAGACCATGGTGAGCCATGCATGACCATTTTGGGTTACACAGAGAGAAACTATTTAGACAGGCTGGTTGGTTTGTAATTTTCCCTTACACCTCCTCACCCATGACACTTCATCCCAGCAGCATGCCCTACTTACAGTGCCAACTGTAAACATCCCTGTGAGGAGGTGGCCTCGGCCAACGTCAGGGATATGGGGTGGACGGTGTTACTTTTGTGCTGAAGATGGGATCTCCGAGACATAGCAGGTTAGGTGTGGCTCACAGGCCACATAGCAGGGCTGTGGAAAGAGGTATGAGGTACGAGGGAGAACCTGAGAGCACCGAGCAGCCTTCCCCTTAACCCAGCCCCTTCCTGGTGCTCTGTTCCACTGGGACTTGGGAAGCTAAGTTTGGATCTGGCCCCTGAGTCACTGGGAAGTGCACCTGATTTTGTTTAATTGTAAGACTGTGGGCCGTTAGAGTGAGAAGGGCCTGAGAGTCATCTAGCATTGCCGCTTAGTTTTAAATGAGAAAACAGGAGCCCAGACTTGCTAAGGGCCTTGTCCAAGGTCATAGATCCATCAAGAACTATCATGTGCTAAGGCCTCTGTTTGCCACTGAGGGGTCAAAGGATGAAATACAAGGAACATTTAAGGCAGGAGCTGACCACTGGGCAGTGGTGCACCAAAGGGATGGGGGGTGATGGTGTGGTCCATACCAGTGGGGAGGAGTATTTTATCACTGACATTGTTTTGAATTGCTGGCATAGTGATTATAAAAAGCAGATAGACTCTTAGCTATATGTGCATATTTTTTTTAGTTTACCTACAGACCTAATACCCCTTTATTGCCTGCCTCTGGAGCATACTGCTCCATTCCCCTGCCCTTGGTCAGCTACTGGAGTCCTGTTGAGGAGACGGGTCATTCACAGGGATAGGGCAGGAAGACCATGTTTGCTCCACAATGCTACCTTAGACAAGCTAATAGGAATAGTAGCTACCATTTAGCAACTTACTGTGCCACCAGGTTTAATGTTTTTCACACACGATTGCATTTAATCTTCACAATGACCCTGTGAGGCATGTGCAAGAGTTACCTTACTTTTACACGTAAGGAACCTGAACTGGCCAAGGTCACAGAGAAAACAAGGGGTAGAGCCTGAATCATTGACCACAAAGCCCATGCTCTTGACTGCCTATATTGCCTCTATTCCAACTGTTGCTGACTTCAGAACCTCCTAACATGCCAGACCCTTCGATAGGAGTATGCAGGAGGAGTGATAGGCACTTACTACTGCTTTTAGCCTTGCCAAGGAAGCCCTAGTATTCCCTCATCCCCTACCTCTAGTTCCCTCTGACCGCCCTGAGTTCTCTCTGGCAGTTGAGCTTTTAGACCATCCTCACATCTCCATCTGGGCTGGAGCTGGAGACAGTTCTTCTCTTGGCCAGTGAGTTAATTAGAAAGGTGCTCCCTCCAGGGGGTCCTCCCGGGTCCCTTTGTAGGTTACAATTGAGGGATGATGTTAGATTTTTGCTTTCTTTTGCTGCCTATTCTGTGGGGGAAAGGGCTTTTTAGCTTAAAGGGGATGGAAAAACCCATGCCAACAGAAGTGTGACTTTAATTCGTGCAAATTCTGTTTCTATTCTCCCCATACCCTCCCTCTACCTGATACAAACCTGAGCACAATTTCGGTGGCTGACTTTGTTCTGTTTGCCAGCGATGTTTGCTTTTTCCTTGCCCTGGTAGAGCCTTTCCTTTTCTGGGCCAGTTGTCTACCCTCTATTTGGAAAGGAGCCCTGAGCAATGGTTCTGTGGGCTCTCCCCCTCATCAGGGGCTCCCAGAGCCCCTGCATAACTCTGAGTCACATAGATGTTGAGAAATTGGGAATTGGGAATTGGCGATGGCCAAGTGGCACTGAGTGGTGTGCGTGATGGAAAGCCATGGTAGCAGGGCAGAGTCGGCCCAGCAAATGGTGCTTGGAAAAATGATCCTCTGGGGGCCACTTAGCCCCTCCTGTGAAAAAGTGCAAAGTCCACAAGTAAGAAAAATAACCTGTTCACATAGTTGGCTTGAAACCATAGGTGCTAAAACCCCCTGTGGCTAAATAAACAGCAAGGGCCTGCTCAGTGATGTCCCATAAATCATGGAGTGCAGCAACCCTTCCCTGGGGCACCACATCTAGTCCCTGTGCTAATCCTTCTGAAACAGCAAAGTCAGTTCCTTACAACCTGGTCCTATCTTTCTCTCTTTTACTCCTGCAGTGCCTTCCTCTGCCAAATTCTCAGCCACCCTACAGTTCTGGAACACTCCCGACACCACACTCTCACATGCTCGCACGCTGACCTAGAGAATCCTGAGGCTGGAGCCATGTGGTTTCTTATGCCTCTGGAATTTCATGTTGTAATTTAGAAAGGTTGTTTTCAACACACAGTTTGATATTTTGGGTTATCTTTCAGCATTTCATTCATTTTTGATAAGAGACTAGGTGGGTGTGAAGTATTTGATGGGGTTTCAGGGTCACTGTAGGTGATACAATGCTAATTTTTTCTTTAATATTCTTGGCTCAGTGGGACAACTCCTTTTGCAATGAAACCCAAGTAAGTGCCTCTCATTTTTCAGTCTGGGTAACATTTTAATTGATTTTTCCCCCAAGAAAATCCAGTGCTTGATGGTCTGAGGGTTGAGTGTAGCATTTCCCAGGATGTGTCAAAGGGATAGATATTCTTTTTGCAGCCTCTGTGGTCTCATCCCTACGGTTTATTCAACAGTGGGCAGCCCCATCTCTGAAGTGTCAGACTAGAATTCTGTGAGAGGGGTGACATAATGGGGACTCAAGCAATAGAAGGGTTCTTGGACCAAGTACCCTTTATGAATCTTTTACACCAGAGATTCCATGGCTCTCCTATGGCCACCAGAGACGGGTGTGGTGAAGGCTCAGGAAGGATGTGCAGAGCCCTAGTTTCCAGGAACTTGCATCCAGTGAAGTCAGGGTACCGAGGACAAGGGGCCCACGAGGGCAGATCCTCCACTGCTTCTAGCCTTGTTCCAGGCAGGGCCTCAGGGAAAGCTTCAGGGATGGAGGATGGCCTAGAATGAGGGTAGGCAAAGATCTCATGGTTTATTCTTTCTGCTTGCTACATCTTAGAGGATTTTTCTGGCCTCTCCAGCACCTGACATGATGCCAGCACCCAGTACATATACAACCAGTAATATCCTGGGTGATAACCTGGGTCTACAAGGTCCCAGTCCTTTTTTGTGTCCTCTTCCTGGGCCCTAATCTCATTTTCTACTCAGGATCCTGCTTTAGGTCCTCCTCTCTCAGGACCATGTCAGCTTACTTTTTCTGTAGTGTAAGGAACTCCCTGTCTGGATGGCCAGAGTAGGCACCTTGGTTACCAAACGAGCCTCCACTGGGAGAGCTTCTGATTCTTTCTCCAGGAAGACTGCATCATTCATCAAGGCATCTTCCCAGTCCATGTTTTCATGGCTTGTGGCTCTTCTTCAGTTCTTCCGCGTATGGTTCTCTGTAAGATTAGCCTTTTTTCTTGCACTTATTTTTCAGATGGACTTTACGATGCTTCATATTATAGGTCAATTTGGCTAGGCCATCCTGCCCAGTTGTTTGGCCAAACACTCATCTAGATATTGGTGTGAAGGTATTTTGTGGATGTGGTCAACATTTACAGTCAATTGACTTCAGATAAAACAGGTTGCCCTTCATAATGTGGGTGGGTCCCATCCAATCAGTGGAAGGGCTTAAGAGCAAAGACTGAGGTTTCCCCAAAAAGAAGGAATTCCCTCTCCAGACTGTAACATGGAAATCCTTCTTGAGTTTCCAGTCTGCTGACCTGACCTATTGATATTGGACTCAAGACTGCCCCATCACTCTTACCTGAATTTCTAGCCTATTGGCCTGCCCAACATATTTTAGATTTGCCAGCCCCTATAATTACATAGCCAATTCCTTAAAATATCACTCTCTCTCTCTCTCTTTATGTATATGTGTGTGTATCTATAATCTGTAGATATCTAGCACTTGTCCCTGTGCTAGCCCTTCCAAAACAAATAGATATAAAGATACATACACACATACATATACGCCTGTCTCTGTCTTCTGTTGGTTCTCTTTCTCTGCAGAACCCTGAGTGACACAGACCTTCTCTGTCTACTGTCTGCTCTCTCCACCCGTCTCCCCCTTTGACCTCCACTTCCTCCATCACCATGAGGTTCCCATGTTCTTTCTCCAAAAAGCTTACAGCATAGCTGGTCTACCAATAACTGCTGACTGCATGTGCAGAAGGTGCTTTGGTGTTGGGTTACCCAGGATCTCAGCTTTTCTGTCTGCTCCTTTCTTCAGCAGTTCCTCCTCTGGAAGGCAGTGTCTAGAAAGAAAGGCCAGCCCAAAGATCTGAAACTCAAATCTTGTAATGTTTATGTTTTTTGGCCATTTTTGCTTTAAACAAAAAAAGAAGAGAAAGGAAAAAGATGATGAAGAAGAAAAGGTTTCTGGGATAAAAGACTAAACTCTGGGCTAAAATCAAGTCTGGGGATTAGCTGAGGATTTAGGTTATCCATGCTTTCCTTTGTTCCTAATCACCATGAGTAATTGAGAGGCACAGAGGCCTGGGCTAGTCCTAGCCGACAGAGCTGTGCTCCAGGCTTATCCTCTCTTGGTGGGATGTGAAAGAACCCGTGCCCTGGGCCTGGAGACAGGGTTCATGTTTGTCTGGTCCAACCTCTTTTTTCCTCTCCTGTCTCCTGCCCTGCCCACTCCTGCTGGACTTTGGTCCTTCTTTGCTATGTGCAATTAGTGGTGGACAGGGTTGTGTGCCTTCTGGTGACAAGGGGTGGACATGGTTTCACTTCTATCTGAGTATTTACCATGTGCCAGACTAGGTACTGGACAGTTTGCTTGGATGTTTTTTCTATTGTGTTTCTTCTCTTAGGCAGTCAGAGGTTTGTCAGTGAAACTTTAACCACTCATTGCCAAGTGCGGAATGACCTGACTCTCACTTCTTCTCTGCACCATCTGAGGGACAGGATTATAGGGGCGGGCGTGTGAGTGTGTATGTGTGGCCATGCATTTCCATGCCCCCCTGGACAGCCCTGATTGTTCCCTCTCCCCTTCCGTTTATGGCTTCCAGGTGTTTACAGATGGTCCTGGCCCATTCTCATAGATACCTGGCCAGACCTTCTAATCTTGTCATCTTTCCCTGAGTGTTCCTGAGCACAGATTATTTTAGAATAGTGTGTGTTCACTTCTGGGGAGCTCCCTCTCTGAACCCATGATCATGAAGAGACCCACAAAATAGGCCCCCTGTCTTGCATTCTGGAAGGGGACTTCTTGGTACCTAAGAAAACTGATAGATGTGAATTTTAAGACCCATTTGGGATTTAGGTAACTGAGAAGGAAAGAGGATGATAGTGGCCCCATGGGTGGTCTGGCTTTTTGGGTCCGCCACTTCCTAGTTCTGTGATCTTGATCCAATGACTCTGCCAGTCTGTGTTTCTGCACCTTCTTCTATTCAGTGAGGATAAGAAGAACACTATTTTAGAGGCTTGTTTGAGTTTGAAGTGAGTTAATACAAGCAAACTGCCCAGTACCAAGTCTGGCACATGGTAAATACTCAAATAAATGTTAGCTATTGTTATTCATTTTAGAGTTCTGCAATGGTGGATGAGTTACAAATTTGGGTCCTCAGATATGGAATAAGCTTATGCCCTGTGGTACTTACTGATTAGCATATGCATGACCCATAACCTCTAGAGAAGCCCTTCAAGAATAATTGATTGGTTGACTGAAGGGCTTACAGGGCTACAAAAATACGTACAGGGTAAATTGATGAATAGTTAAGGAGGTCTAGATGTTTCAGTTATCTGCTGCTGTGTAACAGACTGCTCCGAAATGTACTGGCTTACCATAAAAATAATTAATTCTTTCTAATGTGTCTGTGGGTTGGCCGGATACTTGTTTTGCCTGAATTTAATCCTGGACTCATCCAGGTAGGGGAGGATCAGCTGGGCTGGAATGTACAAGGTGACCTCCCTCTCACATCTGCAGTTGGTACTCGCTGTGACCTGAGCTGCTCCCCTTTCCTCACTGTGGCCTCTTGTTCTCCAGTAGGCGAGACCAGCTTCCTTGTGATGATCTTAGGGCAGCTTCCACAAAAGTGAAAGCGAGAGCTGCAAGTCCTCTTGAGGCCTCGGCCTGACACAAAACATCAGCATTGCCTCTAACATTCTATTGGCCAAAGCAAACCAGAGTCCACGTGGAGGGGTCCACACAAGGCCATGATCACGGGGAGGCACAGTTCATTGGGGACTGTTTTGTAATGAGATGACCTATAGTGAGTAAAAGAAAAATATAGGTTAGGATAAAAATCAGATTAGCCTGTGGCAAGAAGATGATCTTGCAGAGGTGAAGCACCCAGCCAGTGCTGAAATGTCAGCTCTGCCACTTCCTAGTTCTATGATCATCCAATTTCTCAACCAGTCTGTGTTTCTGCATCCTTTTCTGTTCAATGAGGATAACAACACTGCCCTTAAAGGCTTGTAATGAGTTTGAAGTGAGTTAATACACATAGTGCACCTAATTCCAAGTCTGGCCCATGGTAAATACTCAAATAGATGTTAGCTATTGTTATTCATTTTAGAGTTCTGCAATGGTGGATGAGTTAAATTTGGTTTTAAGTTTTCCGCTTCTGAGGCAAAGAGAGAAAAATATCCAGGTACAAGATTTGTAGCGTGCTTAGGTCGAGAAGACATCATTGGTCAGAAGGAGCTGTGCTGTGTCCAGCACATTTGATTTTGAATGCAGCAGATTTGGGATAGTCTGCAAAGACACTGACATAGAAGAGCTCACTGTAAAAATAAATTTATTTGTCTCCTAGAGCAAATGGTTAGAGGCAACACTGTCTAGAGGTTAGCAAGTCAAGCCTGACTGTCAGGATCCCCAGCCTTTCTCTCTCCTGGCTGAGTGAACTTGGGAAAATCCATTAATCTCTCCAACGTTCAGCTTCCTTGTCTACAAAATGGGCGTAATAATAGTGCCTACCTCACATGGGCAAAGGGATTCATTAGGTAAAGCCCTTAGTCTATTGCCTGGCACATATCACTCAATGAATGTTTGTTTTTCTTGTTATTAGTTGTAAAGATGATTTTAAGGGAGATTTTCTCTTTGCTGTAAGACAAACTCTCTGTGTACTCTTCACAGAGGGTTAGTGCTATTATGATAAATCACTCCTGTCTCTTTCTTAGAGGCACCTGGACTTGCAGATACTGTAATGAAGTAGTAAATCAATAATAAAAATAATAAAATAAAAAAGTAATAAACCTTGCAGTCAGGCTTTTAAAAAATTCTTTTGCTATCCCCCATTTTTCCAAATTAGTGAGCTTTATCATTTTTATTATTTTATTTTATTTTATTTTATTTTATTGAGACAGGTTCTTACTCTGTGGGCCAGGCTGTAGTGCAGTGGCGTGATCATGGCTCACTGCAGCCTCAACCTCCTGGACTCAGGTGGCCCTCTCACCTCAGCCTCCTGGGTAACTGGGACTACAGGCATGTGCTATCACACTGGCTACTTTTTGTATTTATTTATTTATTTTTGTAAAGACATAGTCTTGCTATGTTACCCAGGCTGGTCTCAAACTCCTGGGGTAAGCAATCTGCCTGCCTCAGCCTTTCCAAATGCTGGGATTATAGGCATGAGCCACTGAGCCTGGCATTTTAATGATTTTATTCTCCATGGAACTTCATAGACACTGACTATAAACAGCTCAGAACAGCCTTCAAGGACTTCCAGAAATCCATCAACAGGGCCCAAGCCACGAGTCTGTGCCTCTTCTTAGATGGCTTCTGTCCACATTTCTGAGGGTCTCGGGACCCCCAGTGGTGTGAAGTCAGGTTCATTATTTGCTCTGCCCCTGGGGAAGCGCCCCCCTTCTCTCTTTGCCTCTTGCTTTCGGTCTGATTTATGGCTTTAGAAGGTTGGCCTGGAGAGTCTTAATTTAAATCCTCTGTCAGAGGTTGTTACATGAACGTGGTGTCAGTAAAAAGCTGTTTTCCTTTGGTTTTGCTCCTCTATTGCCTCTTTCATGGCATGAAATACGAGGTAGGAAAATAAGGCTACCAAATTGGGGTTGGGGGAGCTATTGAAAAATTCTTGCATAATCCCCTTGAAGTTGCCATGGCACCTTCCCAGCCAGGGGCTGAAGTCAAAATGCTGGATCTTTAAAGCAGGTTTCCCAAGGCCCCTCTCCCTGCTCAGTTTCTGTCTCTTTCCTGTCTCTAGATGCTGTTCTGGTGGTAGTCACAGTTGGAGGCAAAACCCAAGTCTGATGTCTGTCAGCTGTTTTAAACTCCTCTTCCTCTAGCCAAGGAGACTCTGTTTAGCTTTTCTATATTTGCATTATGAAAACAGTAGTTTTTTTTCACTTCCCAAATTCAAAACAACATTTTCTATTTTAATAGTGAATATGCTATATGTGCCTGCCTCCTGGCCCTCAGATATTTTTATGCCCCTAAGGAAATATTTTTACCCTGCAATGAGAATCACCAGGCTATTGTTTTCGAGCATTTTCCTAGCAGTGAGACATAGCATTGTTTTTCTATCATCTGACTTATCTGTAAAACTGCATTGAGCTACTTTGTGTCTCTGTGTACTCCTATGGTTTGTTTAAACATGCGTGCTTTACCTATATGTGTGTCATTAACAGAGCCATTATTTCAAGGAAGTTGGCTTCTTTAAAGTGGAGTTGAGTGCTGTTGTTCAGTGCACAACATGGTTCTCCAGGTTGCTGATACCAAGTTCCTTGCTCTTAAGAAGGGTATTTTTGTAACAATCTGTAAACATTCAGTGGGTGCCCAAGACTACATTCCTGTCAATTTCTTCAAGAGAAGAGTTGTAGAATAGTGGTATGAAAAAAATATAGTAGGTAAATAAACAAGTAAATGAAAAATAAAGTAATAGTACAGGTTTATGATGTGATTCTTTTGTTATCAAAAAAGTAGATGTGTGCACGTGTATTTCCATGTATGTATGTACATAAAATCTAGGGAAGGTACAGTGTTTAACTTTGGCAGGATTATAGGTTTTTCCACTTTCTTTTTTAAAACTTCTTTATAATAAGAAACCCAACACTATTTATTTTTAATAATTAGAACAAAAACAAAACCAGAAAAAAAAAGACAAAGAGCAAAGCCAGGCAGGCTAAGTGGTTGATTGGGAAGAATTTTCAGGTAAGTGGCTGTGCAGATGTGAGATGCCCTGGAGCTGGCCATGCTGGACACAGGGCACCACGCTCTGTCTCAGCCGGGGACTGGCTCGGGGGAAACCAGGTTGGGCTGTTCAGACATGCTCATGTGTTACTGAGGCTGCTGAGTGCAGACACCATCCGGCTGGGCCTGTTTTCTCTCCAATTGGATGGAAGCAGCATTGTGTAATTCACTGAAATTCACTCGGCCTACTTTGTCCAGCAGCCTTGGAGGGTGGGGAGAAGCCAAGGCTGGACCTTGTTTCTGCTCCTCCTGGGTGCCGAGCATCACTCCACATGAGGCTGATGGCCACGGCTCCATCATGCTGTGTCTGGGCGTGGAAGGGTCTACATGCACAAGCATTCCTGCATCAGCCTGCAGCATAGCCAGGCTCCTGCACCCACCTCTCCTGCAGTCCACAGACAGAACATCAGCAGGAGCCACTCTGAAAACATTGAGATATTCCACCCTTGGGACAAGCTGCCACTCTGAGAAGGGGCATCCCTGGAGTCCCTGGCTGGCTTGTTGCTGCAGTTGAACCTATTTGGTGGGAATGCTAATGAATGCTGGCAGCAGAGATGGCCACAGGGAGGTTCTGAACCTCCAGGCCCCTCAGCATGCGCTGGCATGGGAGACAGCTCTCTGTGGTAATTCATCAATGGGGCAGCTCATCAGTTCCTGGGTCCAGGCCTGGTCCTTGCTACTTACTTTGGATGCTGGGCACAGAAGACAGGAGTGTTAAATCACAGGAGTGATAGTCACCACAGGCTGTGTCTTCTCTTGCAGAGAAAGTCTATTCGTGTGACCAGGAGAGGCAGAGTGCCCTGGAAGAGGCCCAGCAGAATCCCCGTGAGGGTATTGTCATCCCTGAATGTGCCCCTGGGGGACTCTATAAGCCAGTGCAATGCCACCAGTCCACTGGCTACTGCTGGTGTGTGCTGGTGGACACAGGGCGCCCGCTGCCTGGGACCTCCACACGGTAAGCCCCCCAGACTGGGTCCTGGGAAAAACGCACCTGCTGGCTGTTATCCATGCTGGCATCTCCCAGTGTTCCTGCCCTGGTCTGGTGGGAGATGAGTGCCTGGGAGAGCCATGTTTTCAATGAGTAGAAGAGTTTCAGGTAGAAAGACCCTGGGACCTGGATTCTGGTCACAGGCCTGTCTCTTTCTAACTTAAGACCTTGGAACAGTACTTAACCTCTCTGAACGTCAGTTTCCTGATGAGATTATTGCCCTTTCTAAGCCACTAGCTTCCATGGATCAAAAAAGATACTGCGTGCAGCTCAAGTATCATTGTTATTATGCTTGAGTGGTTGAAATGACATGCCTGAACATGTCTCAGTGGGAACATTGATGCTAAGATTGCCTTGTAGCTGCCGGGCAGCGCAAGAGATATCGTTCTGCCCACCCTCAGTGCTTTAGGCTTGGTGACAACATAGATCATTGCTGGGCAGTAGTGACTGAAGTAGGCTCAGTTGCCAGCCCCTCCCAACCCCCCCCATATCTCTCTTTTCCCAGCTACGTGATGCCCAGTTGTGAGAGCGACGCCAGGGCCAAGACTACAGAGGCGGATGACCCCTTCAAGGACAGGGAGCTACCAGGTGGGAGACGATGCTGCCCTGCCGGCGCCATCACCTCCTTCTGTTCCTCCACCCTCTCATTATGCAGAAGAAGCTGTCTCCTCTTTGTCTGTTTCCCCATGTGTAAGATGGAGCCAGGAGCCGTGGGATCTACATCCTGGTCTGGGATTTATCCCTAATTAGCTCTGCTCTTGTGCACATTGCTTCTCTTCCTTGTGCCTCTTCGTCTTTATAATGCAGTCATCGGGTTAAAATCCCGTCTGCAGTTCCACAATGCGTTGTCCATCTGAGGTCCATGAGGACAATGTTTTGAGCACTGTGAGTTATTTTTTCCAGAGCTGTGAGGATAAGATAGCTTATAGGGAGGGGCTGTCCTGAGCGATGTGGACAGTGTCTGTTGCTTGCTCTGAAGAGGCAGATGACCCCTGGTGACACAGGACGACCATGGAGTGTGACACAAGACACATAGGCAGGGCCCTGGTACCTCCAAATGGCTGATGTGCGGGTTTCCCCTTATTTATAGCAATCTCTGCCTGCAAGTTACAGTAACATTACTAAATATTGGTGGCTTGGAATCTTATTGTCTTTACACAGCACAAAGTCAGATTAGTGCTGGTGGGAAATGGGCCACCTTCCCATGACCTATCAGGACTCCAAGTGAGAACTGAAAGCAGAGAGTTCTAAGAGTCAGGGATTTTCCACACGAGGTTTGTAGAAATCACCCCATCACAAGAATGGAGTCATGGTGGCCAGGGTACCCCTTTTAGCTAACCCCTCAACAAATGTGAATTGAGATTCTACTATGTGCCAGGCACTGGGTATAATCTAGTGGTCAAAGTTGACATGAGACTTACAGAGTGGAGGAGACAGATTGGATATGAATAAATGAATACAGGCATTTATAGATAGTTGTGGTGGGTACTCTGAGGGAAAAGCGGAACATGCTGTGAGAATGGCAGGGAGAACCTGCTTTAGATTCCACAGCTTCTCTGAGAAGCAAGTGTTGAACCTGAGACCTGGAGGATTTGGGGACAGAAGAGAATGAGCTAGTTGCTAATTTCTATGTGGAGTTGCTTTGGAGAGGAGCACTGGGAGTAGTGTAGAGGGCCCATTTGGTGCTGGTGATCGTGACTTTATAGGACACCCATTTATCCAGTTGTGTGGTGGTGTTTTCCCCAGCTACGTGGTGTAGACATGGAAAAGGCACATCTATAGAAGGTTCTTCTGTGCTTTACTGTGTTTTCCTGGAATAATACAAGGAGGAAAAAAGGAACAAGGACTTGGGAGTATTTACAAGAGAGATGCTGTAGTTATAATGTAAGATGGTTGAGGAGGGAAGTGAAAAAAGGAGGAGGCTCTTGGATGGATCTGGTGGTAGGTGTACTTAAGTCAACTTTGACCACTGGGGGTTCTCTCCCTCCTTTGTGCTCCCACAGCCCCTAGTTCTTACCCCTAGCACAGTATTTTTCTCACTTTAGGACGACTGCTTGGCTATTAGCTTGAGTTCCCCTGTAGATGTGAACTTTACAAGGATAAGGACCTTCTGTATTGTTAACTCTGTATCTCTAGCGTTTAACATGGTGCCTGAGTTGATGTCTAGCAAAAATGTGTGGAATGGAAGAAAATTGAAAGCATTATTTGGTCTGATGGTCCTTTGTGGGGTATGGGTAAAGGAACTATGGAAGTTTATGAGACTCATCTGATCAGTAAACAAATCACTAAAGTGGATTTGGCTGGACAAGAAGGGCTTTGAGAAGTTTAGGAAAGGATGGTAGTTGAGAAAGCTGTTGACTTGATTATTATCTGGCATCTACCTTCAAATCTCATTTTATCTTTTAGGCTGTCCAGAAGGGAAGAAAATGGAGTTTATCACCAGCCTACTGGATGCTCTCACCACTGACATGGTTCAGGCCATTAACTCAGCAGCGCCCACTGGAGGTGGGAGGTGAGATTGTGAGCAGGAATCAGGCCCAGGAGAAAAATGTGGGGCCCCTGACTTTTCAAATGCTGAGGGAGGGTGAGAGAGTGGGCAGGGTTTGAGGAGGGCAAGGGCTGGAAGTTGATCTTTTTCCTGAAACCATGTACCCATAGCTTTGACCCGCCTTCTGTCAAAAATCTTCCTGCCCCTCTACCTTCCCTATTCTTTGGGAGCTGCTTGTCCCTAGCTTTTAGTTACCTGATTTATAGGAAAGTCCAGGGCTGTCTGGGACTTCCAGCTGTTTAATCTCAGAAGGTGATGGGTTGGAGTGAGAGTTCTGAATGGCAGGAAGGGTGATGGTTATATCATGGGAACAGGGAGGCAGAGAGGGAGCACAAAGCACTTTGCAATTTTCTTCTCTCCTAGAAGGCAGGAACCAAATGCCTTTTTGGCATCCTGAGAATTCCAAGGAGCTCTTGGCAATGGAACTGGACACTCATATAGCCAAATACAGCTCAGGTCAGGAATTGAGGTGGTAGCTGAGGCAGTCCTGATGTGAGGCTGAAATGCACATGCTCCCCAGTAACCAGCATTGCTGGCACTCATGAGTTTGGGCCCATTAGGCCAGTCGGTTGGAGATGCATGCACGCATTCATCCATCCGCTTACCACCTTTTGAACATGGAAAACACAGCAAACACTGGGCTAAGGATGAGGTATCTGGGGATAGAGGCATGTCCCACCTTCAAAGGATGCAGCTTAGCGGGGATACTAGACCATAGATAGATACTTACAAAATCTGTGGTGAGTGCTAGGACAGAGGTGGAAGAATGGAGAATGGTTGTCTCACTCAGTCTGGAGGAGTCAGAGCAGGCTTCCTGGAGAAGGTGATATCTGAGCTGAGTTTTAAAGAATGGGTAGGACTTATCTACCTATCAAAGAAAAGATAGGTAGATAAAGAAAAGAGAAAGCCATTCCAGAGAGAAGGAAAGGATACTGTGGCTCCAAGAAAGTGCATGTCTGTGGTTCAGTTAGCTTGGGCTGGGGTGGATAGGCGGAGGAGGAGGAAGCAGAGGAGGTAAGAGTGGTAATCGTGAGATGGAAGAGGTGGGCAGGACTCAGATCCCGAAAGTCCTGTGAGACATGCTGAGTAAGACTTCTGCTCATGCTCATGAAGCCAGAAGGGGAAGCACAGCAGAGACTGTTGGAGACAAGTGTGGTAGTGTCTAGGCTCCTTACAGCAGGAGGGGAGGTACTCTAGGCTTGGCAGGGATGGGCAGCCTGCTCTGAACTTATATGGCTCACTGAGGAGGGAGCGTTAGTCCCCCGGCATCTGCCCAGAGGCAGAGCTGTTATCCATAAGGCAAGGAATGCCACAAAGAGAACAAGCCTAGGCCTTGGAAGGACCCCAGCATAGCTCCCTCAGTGGTGATTGGCAGGACCATGTGGTATGTGTTTAGGGTAGGAGTTTAGGGCTCCAAGTGGAGCTGTCGACGTTTCTGCATCCTGAGGCAGAAGAAGGCAGCCATTTTGAAAACCCAATTTTATATCAAATCAAAGTGAGTGCACACAATAGCCAAGATATGGAAACAACCTCAATGCCCATCAATGGATGACTAGATAAAGAACATGCGGTATTTGTATACAGTGGAGTAATATTCAGTCTTAAAAGAGAGAGAAATCCTGTTATATTGGGGGCATTATGCTATGTGAAATGAGCCAGTCACAAGCACAAATGCTGCATGATTCCACGTACATGAGGTACCTGAAACAGTTAGACATGTAGAAGCAGAGAGCAGAATGGTGGTTGCCAGGGGTTTGGGGAGTTGCTAACCAATGGGTGTCAAGTTTCAGCAAAGCAAGATGAATGAGTCCCAGAGATCTGCTGTCCAACATTGTCCTTATAGTTAACAGCACGGTGCTATACACTTAGATGTTTGTTAACAGGCTAGATCTCCTGTTTAATGTTCTTACCACAATAAAATTAACAACAACAACAAAAAAAAAACGAAAGAAGAAAAAAGAAAAAAGTGAGTGCAGTGGTTGCCCGTCTTGGAAACTGCTTGTTGGGGTGCTTGCCCGGAGCCCCCCATGGTCCCGTGAGCTCTGAGGCTGGTTTCTGGCTGTGGCTCTGTTTCTGCCGCCCCTGTGGGTGGGGGCCAGGCCTCCTCCAGGAGGAGCACAGCACTAAGTCTGAGAAAGATGAAGACAGGGTTCAACAGGCCCACAGACGGGAGCTGCTGGAGGCGGCCTGTGGCACTCAGCTGCTCAGTCTCCGAGATAGAGAGGACAGCACATCCAGATCTCCAAGAAGAGGGGAGAAGGTGAATTTTGAAAAGGCAGTATTGTTGGCCTTGATGTTACTTGTGTTTAGAATATGAAAAAAATACCTGTTGTTTCATGCAAAAACAGGCATGAAAGATTTATGTTTTATGTTTATATTTATGTTTAGAAGAGAGAGAAAAAGGGAAAAAGGAAAAAAAAGGAGGTCCGTGGGCTTAAAAGTTTCTGGTCTGGGGTCTTCCCACTTACACCTTCCTGCAGGCTCCTGGCACTGCCCCCCAGCTCAGGGGTCCCACCTGCACTTCTGCCTGAGTCCTAAGGAGGCAGGACTTCAAGCTCCTCTTGGTTGCTTTCCCAAGAGCACTGCGTGGGCTCTGCCGCAGGTGGGGGACGCAGATGGGCCCTGCTGCCAGGGGAAGGTAGGATTTGTGCCTTATCCTCAAATGACAGACAGAAGGGATTTTTACAGGCAATGAAAGCTGAGAAATTTATAACTTTTTAATATCAGTGTGTCCTTAGGGAAGAGGATCTTTTTTCCATTCTATTTTAAGCGTCATTTAGAGTTGGAAGAGGTTTTTCAAAAAAATTGTTTTCAAAACATGTTTTTCATTTTAAGCTCATATTAGCTTGACCATACTTGGTTTTGATGGGAATGAAGACTTGAACTGCCTTTGGTAGTTATGTTACCTAGAGGATGGACTTTAATCAAAAGACAGACAAGATGCTTCAAGAAATAGTTTAGAAATCAAGGAAGTGGGTGGGGAAAGGGAGAAGAAAGAGAGAAACTGCTATCCAGGAAGGTAGCTGTCAGGATTACCAGTGTAGTAACAGGGTTTAAGGCTGTTCCAGATCTTCCCACTGTATTCAGCATAAGCCCTAACTCTGACCTGGGCTGGCCCTTCAGGACAACTTTGCCGGCCCCACCTCTCCTCACATATTCCTTTCCTTCCCACCATTATGTTCCAGGTACTGGTTCTCCTCAGTTCTGGTTCCTCAAACAAGTCAAGCTCTTGCCTGTTCCAGGACCTCTATGTCAGTTGCTCCTAGAATTCAGTTCCCCATCTTCCAATGACTGGCCCCTGCTTATCTATTTAAATGTCACCTTCTCAAGTACCACTCAATCTGTAGGAGCTGCCTGTTCACCCTGTACCTCAGCACCCCTTTTTAACTCAGCCTAGCATATATCACGGTCTGATATTTTGCTGGCTTGTTGATATATTATCTGTCTCCCTAAACCCAAGGAGAATTTAAGTTCTATGAGAGAAGAAACATTTTCTGTCTTCTTCCCTCCTGTATTCCCAGAGCTTAGACTAGTGTCTGGAACATAGTAGGTGCCCAGTAAAATATGATAAATGAATAAATAGCTAGAGGGACGGGGGATAGATGGATGGATCCCTGTCTCGATAAGACCTCTTTCTGGCACACATCAGAGGGTCAACCAACCACCACAAGACCAAGTATAAGGCTGGAGCCAGCTGTCAAGTTTACTGTGGTGCTATTTTGTAACCAGGGCCCGAGGGTACCCTGGCCAGGACCCAGGGACTTGGAGCGCCATGCAGACAGACCCTGGCCAGTTGTCCCTCTTGTTTGATGGAGGAGCAGAGGTATGAGGCAGCTGGAGGTCAGGTAGCATGTCTGGAACAGGACTGACGAAGACAATTAGGAAATCCAGGCATTCTGAGTTTTGGCCTTGGCTGTGGAATTCAGGCAGAGTTGGGGCTACAGGCATGAGGTTAAGGAAGCCGCATCTGATCCCTCCTTTATCCTCTCAGACTCTAGTAGTTAAAGCTGGACATCAGCTGGGGCCAGGGAAACAGTCTCACTTGGGGACAGTGGGAAAAAGGGATAGAAGATGTTTGGACAGTGCAGAAAAAAGGTGCCTTCCTCCCAGTCTACTTCCTGTCAGGCATGGAGATGTTGGCTTTGCATCAGCTCTCACGTTTCAACCCGCCCCTGGTATGAGCTCCATGCTAGGTTCTGGGGCATCTGAAGAAAAGGGGATCATTTCTGGTCTGGAAGGGAGATACAGAACAACCATATGACTGCAGTATAAAGTCGGTAGGATAATAGAGGCTGAGAAAGTGTTGCAGGGACCCTGGGGAGCCAGAGCATGTGAGGGAAGGCCTTCCATGGGAGCAACAGTGGAGCCCCATCTTCCCTTATGAGTGGGAAAATGCCTGACCTAGATGGACCAGGGGTAAGGGCCTTCCAGCAGAGGGGACCATGTGGGTAGTGAGGTGTGAACAGGGTAGGAAGTGTGGAAGGAATTGTAAGAAGTAGTATGGTTTATGTTTGGGAGTCAGGCTGGGGACAGGTAGGAGATGAGGCTGCAGAGTTGAGCAGAGCCCAGCTGGTGCCAGGCCCTGGGAGTCAAGATGCAGGGCAGAAGGGAGCTGCAGGGTTAGGTGGGCATTTTTGCAGAGTCATCCTGATGGCACTATGGAAGCAGGATTGGAGGGGAGCAAGGCAGGCAGGAAGACGATAGCAAGTGTCAGCATGAAGGGTGATGAGGGCATGGACCGTGGGAAAGGGATGATTTGCTGAAGCTTTTGTAAAGAAATCAATAGGATTTCAAGACTTGCTACATGCAGGGAGTAGAAGAGTGGGAGGCATCTACTCCCTTTTCTGGCCTGATTTATTAGCAAAAAACAGTGCTACAAAGATCTAAAAATAGGCAGAGTAGAATGGGGTGTCTGTGAAAACTCTATGGCAGGTGCGTGGGAGGGTGTGCATTGCAAATATCAATGGATGATAGTCCCTCTTGGTGAATGTTTTCTGTGTGAGTGAGTTATCCCTTTGGCCCCTCTGGCCAGGGCTCCAGGAGGCAGTGTTCCCCCTTAGAACAGCCTTCCCACAGCACCCATTAGCATTTATCAGTCCCAAAGGAAGATTTCTGAGATCTCAGCCGGCAGAGTCTTCTAGAGCAGGGGAACCCTCTCCTGGCTTCACCCTCCCCCAGGGAAAGTCAACTTTGAGGGGAGGTGGGAAGGGCTGTGTGAGCCTCTTGGCCCTTCACGTGGTCCCCTGAGGGGAGACTGTACTGTGGCTTCCTCCTTCCTGCCCAGTGTGGTTGCCTGTTGATGGCTTTGCAAGGAAGAGGCTGGAATGTGGCTGACTTGGCATTTCCCAGCCGCACCCGCACAGCTGGCGGGGCCTGGACCCAACTCCAGACGGGGCTCAGTTGGTCTGCTTGGCTTGGCTAGTGCCTCCAGGCCGTCCCGCCTTACCTTCTCTAAAACTGCTTAGGACAGCAGAACTGGGCCCGAGATCTTGGCCAAAGCAGGTTTCCTTGTGGTAAACGGAGCTGGCTCTCCAGCTGTGCATTGCAGCCAAGGCCTGGTGGGGCTGAGGCTGCAGAAGCAAAACTGAAAGTGCTGTGGGAGAAGTGTAGCCTATGCCACCTCTGAAACTGGGAGAAGGCTCCTTGGGGCCAGTTTGGGGAGGAACTTGGCTCTAGTGGGTTTCCTCATCCCTGGAGGCAGAAGTCAACAGGACAGTCACAAAAACAGCCCAGAGGTAGGGCAGACACCAACGTTATTTGGCTTATGTTGTCTGAACCATAGTCTTCTAAAATCTGGAATCTGGTATCATTTGGGTGTGTCTTTTCATACCATATCCAAGGAAACTTGGATATTGTACCTACCCAGTGAGCCCTTTTAGTAGAAGTAGTACTTTACCCATGGAGAAGTCTGCAGTGTGGACAAGCGAGTGCTGTTACACTGATCCTAAGGAGCTCTTGCTCCCTCTAACTTAGGTCCCCAGCCTTTGCCTGATGACCAGCTTTGAATTCGGCAGTCCTGACCTCCAGTGGAATATATGTGTGCTTGTGTGAGACAGGTTGGGAGCCTGAGGCCAGTGTAATCCTGGAGCTGGGAGGGGAAGGGGCAAGGCTTTGGGCTTTCTTGGGCTATGGCTTTGTGGTTGAGGGGGTCTAACTGTGATGGAAAGTCTCCAGCAAAGACTGCTTGAGAGATTCCTGAAGCTCTGGGGGAGGCCTCCCTGCTCCATGCCTATCCAGCACTCCCCCAGGAAAAATCTCAGATTTTGTTCAGTTAACAGAGGCCTCTTGGGTCTTCTTTTGCACAGACTTACTGCTATGCTAGGACTCCTGCTGGATCTAAGTCTTAGCCAAGAGCTTGTACAAAGCATAGTGGGTACCTGCTGTCAACTTCATCTGTGACTTAAGGCTGTTGCCAGGCCAGAAACTTGATTTACAGAGTTTTTAAATCCATTGCCTTCAATAGTTTTGTTGGAAGTAGGGAAACTATCCCCAAACCCTTCCAGCTACTGTCTTTTGTCTGACTCCATCTTCTTCTTTAAGCATCATGCTTAAATATTCTTCTTGGGCCATGGCTAGAGCCTCCATTCCTCTAGATCAAGGGTTTTGTTTTGTTTTGTTTTTGTCTTTTTTTTTTTTAACCTGAGTCCATGGACTTTGAATGGATTTAGGGAGTCCATTAATCTGAAATCTGCAGACTTCTCTGTGTATGTCCATTTCTCTAGAGAGAGAGCTCACATCTTTGTGTAGGCTCTCAGAGGGTTCACAATCCCTCATGGACTCAAAGCTGAAATTTTCTGCTATTAATGTACTTGGAGTTTGGCCTGGCCAAAGTGTTGGATTCCAAAGATGACCCTAGGGCTACCCAGCTTACAGGTAGAGGTAGGGCTCTCTTATTTAGGGATTTGAGGGTTGTTTTGGCAGCCGAAGGAGTTCAGAAGCAGAGAATATCATGCTAGCTGGGAAGGAGGAAGGAAGGCAACAGGACCCTCGGGCCTCACAGGGCAGGCTGTGAGTCATGCCAGTGTTAGAGGGAGCCCAGAGGCACTACCTGGAGGGGCTCAGAGGATCTCTCCTGAGGAAGTGAATGCTGCACATCTCAGCCCAGTGGCTCAGCTGGGAGCCAGGCAGGGTGGGGGGCAGCAATCAGAAGTCGTGGCTGCCCTGCACTGGGAGGCCTTGATGGGAGTGAAGAGAGTCAAAATGTTGTTCTTCTGGCAAGGAGATGTCAGGAAGGGAAAATCAGAAGAAAGGCAGGGAAAGGGGCAGGAGTCAGATGATGGTCACTCTCAGGCATGGAAGGAAACTCTTGGAGGTTGTAAAGTCAGAAGAAGAACTGCTTCTTGCTGCAAAATAGCCCAAAGGAGGGTGGCAGAGCTCTATCAATGGAGTGGCTGAAAGCTGGACAGGCGGGAGCCCCAGAAACACGTGTTGGAGGGAGTGCGCCTCCCCTGGCAGGGCCTCTGGGTGGGATGACCTCATCCCTTCCCGTCTCAGTGACTGAGGCTTTATTATTCCAGCCTCTAGGTAGACATTACGCTATACTGAGCCTAAAGGTTAAAGGAAGAGCTGCCTTTGCCTTGGAACTCTCATGGCTCCCTGGCAGGAGGGGCTGAGCAGGAAGGTCCCTGACTGCCTCCCTCATTGCTTGAGAGAACTGAGTTCCTTCCTTGGGGGCCTTCTGTCTCTGCTCCACAGCCTGTGTCCTCCCTGCTGTTTGGGGAAAGGCAGGGACAGGCAGGTCACTCCCCTACCTGCACCAATAGAATTCCAACAAAATTTTCTGCCTTTGCAGCTGGTATGCACTGCAGGGGCCGTCTTAACAGTGAATATTGCAGGTAAAATAGGGAAAGATGGAAAACACCAGAATACTGTGTATGCTGGCAGAGACAAAATCTGAGTTCTTCAGTGAATAACTTCATGCCTGTTTCAAAGACCTCCTGAGCCTGGTTTCCATGACAGACTAAGCAGATTTCCTAAAAGTTAGAGGCAGCTGGCAGCTCTCCACGGCTCCCTCACACCTTCCGCCAGGTACTCTTTGAGTTAAACCTGTCACGATGAGGTCCCCTTGGCAGATCCACTAATTGCATCCTCCTGGAATCAGTCCAGGATGCCCGGATTACCTGCTCAAGACTGAAATTCAGCTAATTAGGAATAGGCATCTAACAGGGATGGATGACTGGCTTTTTTTCCCCCCGCATAATGGAACTTCTTTTTCCCTGAACTTGGACGTTACTTGGTGGGGTGGAAGAGGAGGGAGTTTGCTGGCTTGTTCACAGGGGAGGGGTCAGAGATTATCTCCCTTCTGGAAAACTCAGCAAACCCCAGAGAAGTCAGGGTGGCATGACAAGTGCCTTGAATAGTTTCCCCACCAGGAACAGCTTCAGAATGTGCAGACAGGCCTTCGACCCTGATCTAGGATCCCTCTGGAACAGTGAGCCCTCTGCCCCACTTCTGACCTCTGGTAGTCATGTGCTCTGTCCCAGCGCCCTGCACACTGAGGATGTGAATGTGTGGGACTCCCAACATCAATCTTTTTCTCCTTCCCCAGGGGAAGTTGCACAAGGGCCTAGATCACAGTCACTCAGTGCCAAGCCCTGGGAACAGGAGCCATGGGGCTCATGGGGTTCCATTCTCCTCGTTAGTGAACCCAGGCAGCCCCTCTGTAATAGACCCATTATTGGCTTTAAAAATTGTAAATAGTAGTTATCACCCTGACTCCGTTTTGGGAGAAAATAGGAGACAGTTAAGTAAATAACATAGATGAGTAGGCCATTACATACAGTTACACATGTAGACGTAGATGTTGGCCTTGTAACTTGATGAGGGGCTGTGTTAGATGTGCTTGTGACTCTGCCTCTGGATGCCAGGAAGTGTTCTTGGTGACTCTAGTCCAGCATTTCTCAGCAGAATCACCTGGCAGTGCTGGTGAATACATGGTTTCCTGGGTCCACCCCAGATCCCCTGACTAAAACCTCAGGCTGGAGAGACTCATCCCCAGTAGGTCCCGGCTTTTCCAGTTTTGGAACTTCTGTTGGTGTCTGACCCAGTTGCTTTCTTCTCTCAATTCCCACTGCACTGGATGTCCAGCAGTGATGGACCGTGGGAACCTCACACCCCACATTCAGTTGTCATGACTATTTTCACCTTTTTGGCTCTGTCTCATAGAGACAGTGAGCCACTTGAGGCCAGGGGTGCACCCTCCAGGGCCCAGACTGGCACTGGGCGTACAGTGGATGCTCAGAGCACCTTCCCCACAGTCAGTCCACCACAGGGCACATGTTTACGTGTAATGAGCAGCTTGTCCGCAGTGAGTGCTAGGCCAGGGGAGGGACAATTTGGATTCCAGCTCTGGTTTATTCAGCAAATTAGATCAAGCCAATTTGTCTTGAGCACCCATCATGTACAAGAACATTTCTGGCTTTGGTAGAGGGTGAGTCATGTTTGTGTAATAAGGATTACCCACCTGGGGAGTCCTGAGAAAAGAATGGTCCAATCTTAGGATTTGAGTCGGAGAGGATGGCTTAACGTTGCCACAGGCTGAGCCGCTGTGGGTGGACTTTGGCTTGGAGGAGCCGTTTCTACCTGACTTTCTGGGGGCAGTCATACCAGGGCTGATGGTTCCTGCAAGATCCTGATTGGTGTTCTCTGCGGTGGGGGTGTTTGTCCATGGCCCAGGTTCTCAGAGCCAGACCCCAGCCACACCCTGGAGGAGCGGGTAGTGCACTGGTATTTCAGCCAGCTGGACAGCAATAGCAGCAACGACATTAACAAGCGGGAGATGAAGCCCTTCAAGCGCTACGTGAAGAAGAAAGCCAAGCCCAAGAAATGTGCCCGGCGTTTCACCGACTACTGTGACCTGAACAAAGACAAGGTCATTTCACTGCCTGAGCTGAAGGGCTGCCTGGGTGTTAGCAAAGAAGGTGAGTGCTCTCCCCTGTGCTCCTGGCCTTTCAATACTTGCCCCCACCCAGGCATGGGACCAAGGGCTCTCTGATAAATGAGATTCCAGATACTCATCTATTCATCAATTATTTGCTGGAAGTGTGCTATGCTTCATGCTAGATGTTTGAGACAGTGGTGGAATTGACTGATAAGGTCCCTATCCTTGCACAGAAGACAGAGCTTAAATAAGCACTCACATGAGCTGTGATACATGCTGTGAGAGTGTGCTAGGGTGGGCCAGGCTACAGTCACAAGTAGACCCATACATCATGGCTTGACACAGTGGAAAATTTTTCTTTCCCATATAATAGTTCAGCATGGTCGCAGGTTGTAGGGTGTGTGTGTGTGTGAGTGTGTGTATGTGTGTGTGTGTGTGTGTGTGTGTGTAGGGGTAGGAGTAGGGGCAGGGATTGCTCTATGCAGTCACTCTGGGATCCAGGCTGAGAGTGACTCTGCCATCTTCATCATGTGGCTTCCAAGGTTACTCTGGGGGTCATCTCCATCCTCAGTCAACCAGATGGAGTAGACATGAAGCAGTGCATGTGAGGGAGTTTCATGGGCCAGTCCTGGAAATGACACTCATTCCTGCTGGTATTTCACTGACCAGAGCTCGGTCACTAGGAAGGCTGGGTTTTATGGGCCAGCCCTGGAAATGACACACATTCCTGGTCATAATTCATTGGCTGGAACTCAGTCACTAGGGGAAGGGAACCCAAGAAGAGAGCAGCATGAATTCTGGTGAACACCTAGTAAGCTCTGTCACAGCAGGGCAAGTGCAGAGCATTGTAGCAACATATATAGGGGCACCCAAGACTCTAAGGGACAGACAGCCTTGAAAAACTTTTGAAGGAAGCGATGCCTAAACCAGGGCTCAGCAAACAATGGCCTGAATGCTCAATCTAGTCTGTGGCCTGTTTTTGTACAGCCTGTGAACTAAGAATGATTTTTGCATTTGTAAAGAGCTGTAAGTTTTTTTTGAAAGAAGAATATATAAGAGGGACCGTATATGGCCCACAAAGCCTAAAATATTTACTATTTAGTCTCTTGCAGATAAATTTGCCAACCCATGGTCTAACCCATTACTGGAAACATGAGTAGGAGATGGCCAAGCAGAGAGGTCAGGAGAGGGAAGAGTGTTCTAAGCCAAGGCAAATGAGGAGTGAAGCTCTGGAGGCAAGGAAACAGTTTTCAATGAGCTGAAGGATGTTTGTGTGACTGAAATGAATATTTTAACAGTGGTAGGAAGAGCAGGGGTGGTGACAAGAGGCAAGGTGAAGTTGGAGAGTTTTTAAATTCAGGTGAAAGACTTTAGACTTTATAAGGGTAGTGGAAAGCTGTTGAAGGCGTTCAGAGAATTGATAGTATCAGTTTTTCTTTAAAAAGTATTCTGGTTTCAGGGTGGGACATGGATTGGAAATGAGCAAGGCAGGGTCATCCAATAGGAGGCATGGCACAGTCCAGGCTAGAGTGATGGAGGGCCAAGTTATGAAAACACAGCAGGGTAAGGGGAATGGAGAGAAGTGGGTGATTGGAGATCAAGTTAGGTATGGGACAAAGGTAGGTTTGTTCAGCTGGAGGCATGGCTGCTCACTGAGATGGGCAACATGGAAGGAAGAGCAGGTTAAGTATAGAGGGATGTAGAGGGTGCCCAAGTATGGTTTGGACACGTTGAGTTGGATGCACATGAAGGATGAGTGGCTCTGTAATGCAGGTGAAGGGTCTGAAGATGCAGATTTGGGTGATGCCGACTTATTTGAAATGGAAGCTTTGGAAAAGCTGAGATTTCCTAAGGAGAGAGTTTAGCAGAAGAAGATAAAAAGGCCTTTTCCTTGTTCCTCAGTTGTCAGAGTAAACCCAAAGAATAGCATGGGAAATGGATGGGTTCCCATAGGAACCTGGGCTTGGGATCCACTTCCCACCGCCCGCCCCGCCATGGCTGGTTTCTGGCCTTGGTTCTGGGGCTTACTGGTGTGTGACTGACTTCATTACTCTGGGCATGCCTGTCTGACGCGGATGCTTCTCTGTTCCCATAGTACTCTGAGTCTCCAGGACTCAGCAATGAGTCAATGGTTCAAACCCTGCCTCTGTCCCGGCCTCGCTCTTTCACTACATGCGGCTTGAGTGTCCCTTATCTGAAATGCTTGGGACCAGAAGTGTTTGGAACTTTTTCAGATTTTGTAATATTTGCATTACACTTACTGGTTGAGCATCCCAAATCCACAAAATCTGAAATCCGATATGCTCCAGTGAGCATTTCCTTTGAGCATCATGTCAGCACTTAAAAGGTTTTGGATTTTGAAGCATTTTGGATTTCAATTCAGTACAAATTACTGAACCATTCTGCATTTCAGTTTCTTCACCTGCTTAATGGGAAAAATGCTAGAGTCTATCTCATAGGACTGTTGTGCTGATTAAATGGGACAGTGAGTTAAAGCATTCCCAAAGTTCCTGAGAAATTGAAATAACTCAATAGAAGTTCAATACTACTATTCTTCTTTGTAAGATGAACTTACACTGTGTTGCAGTTTACTCTTCCGATTACCCCTTGAAGCCAAAAGGATTCTCTCTCTCAATTCCTAACCTCTAGCACCGTACATGGCACCTGGTAATTCATTAAGTCCTTGTTAGATGAATGAATAAGTGAAGGAATGAATGGATGGGGGGGTTGCCCCTTCCGGTGACATTATGCTCTGACACGCTTGGAATTTGTGGTCCTTTCGCAGAGCACAGTCAGATGGCCAATGTCGGGAAGAGACCATCCAGTGTCAATGTAGACCCCAGGCATACCAGGGGCACTCCTGGGCTAAGCGATGATGCTCTGTACTGCCCCTGCCTTCGGCCCCCTTCCCGTGCTAGTAGTTCTGGTCTGCACAGCACACGGAAGCCAAGCAATGGCTGAGTGTGGTGAGCTCAGATCCACCGAGCTCAGGGACTCCTCCTAGCCTTCCTCTGAAGCCTTTCCAGGCACCAGGTGTCTGCCAGTCCCAGCTGACATACAGGACCTGACAGAAGCATCCAGAGAAAACTGAAGTAGAATGTAGATTTAGGGATCCCTGGTCATCTGGATGTTCCTCCTCAATCCAGGCTCAGCTGCAGACAAGTGTTAGTTTCAGTTATCCTCATAGCTTTGCCCACAGAGGCCCCTAGGGTGCTTTGGAGTGCAACTGTCATTCTTCTTGGCCCAATACACCCTCTTGAACCTCTCACCTCAAAGGTAGGACTATGGAAAGTCTGGCCAGAAAGCCCGTGTCTGTGACATGTCTCTGAATGTATATACACATGTCTGTTTGTGCATGTCTCTGTGGGTAGGCCTGAGTGTGCACCTGTCTGTGTTCATGTCTGTGTCTGTTTGTACATGGTCTACACTTATGTCTTTAAGTATGGCTATGTGTGCATGTCTATACACATGTGTGCATGCATTGTGCATATGTCTGTGTATGTCTGTGCATGTGTCTGCATATGTGTGTGTATGAGTGTGATGGAGTGAGGGAGAGTAGAACATTGAGATAAGAGGAAGAGGGTATGTAGGATTAATCAATGGGGTGGGGTGAAGTGGAGGCTGAGTAGACTTAAAGCCTATGCAGAGGCAGAAAGGATTCCTGTGTCCCCACTCTCCATTTCAACACACACCACAGGACACACTGCTCTGGACCCAAGCAGCCCAGAGCTAGAAGGCTCTGTGGGTCCTCTAGTCCATTTTGCAGTCTAGGAGTCAAGGCTAGCCCAGAGAGGAGTAGCGATTTGCTCAAGGGTACATGTGAGGTACCACCACTGCTGGCGCTTGGCCCAGCCTCAGGATTCCTGGGCCAGACTGCTGTCCCCTCCAGGAGAAGGACCCCAGTGTGTTTGAAGATGTCGCCTTGTGTGAGCAGGCCAGTCTTGGTTGCCTGGTGAAGCCAAGGGAGTGGCCAGTGGGGGAGTCTGGGGAAGAGGGGGAGCAGACCAGCCTGGGGGCAGCGTGGGCAGGAGTAGAGGTGTTGCAGGGGGTGAGGGTGCCACCAGCAACCTGAGTGGGGAAGCCCACAGTTTCCAGGCAGGCAGTGCCTATGGGATGACGGACCACTATTGAGAGGCCCAGGAGCAGTGTGGGTATACCATGATCAGGCACAAGTAGGGGCTGGAGTAAGTGCAGAGGCCCTGAAGTCAGATGGGCCTGGCTTGATTTTAATCCCAGCTCTGACAATTACCGGATCTTTAATCCTTGGCAAGTTACCTAAACTCTCTAAGCCTCCGTTTCCCCATTTGCAAAGTGGAGATTATAGTACCTACCTCAACGATTTGGTGAGGATGTAATCAGATAATGTGTGTGAAGAACTTAGCACGGTACCTGGTACATAGCGAAGGCACAAAAGAAATTGGTAGCGGTAGAGGAACATGTCCGGGAAAGAAGGTATGAGTTTCAGAACTGCCCCCTCCATCCCTCTGCTCTGCAGGGCGGCAGAAAAAAGCCCCTGTGGTCAATGGTGTGCAGGGGCTCCGGGAGCAGAGCCTATGCGTCGGTCATCCATCCCGTGTCGTGCGGTGCCCCCTGGTGGGCTGCGAGGGGCTTGCATGCTAGGTGGGGACAGAAGCTGGCTGGGGGAAGGATGCCGAGCTTGGGGACCAGTAGAGTTTTGGGTCCAAGGGACTGAATTTTTGGAAATTCCACTGGATCACAGATATTTTACCAACCAGACTCCTCCCTGGAGAGCTGAATTCTCTGCATAACATGCCTCTTTCTTCACTTTCCCAATTTATAAAGCACCTTCACTGGGATCATTGTCACTGTCCTGTGAGGCAGGCGGGGTGGGGTCTAGTGCCTCCTTTTCTCAGAACTATCCGCTCTTCTTTTGCCTTGTCTGAGGATGCCAACTGCCTGGGGCTCAGCCTTCTTCTCTTCCATCCTCCCTGATGGCTCAGAGCATGATTCTGGAGGCAGCTAGCTAGGTCGGAATTTGCTTTGCCGCATGGAAGCTGTGCCATCCTGGGTGGGTTACTTGATATCTCCAAGCTTCAGTTTCATCATCCTAAGATGGAGATAATTTTATCACTCTCAAATAAAGTCGCTCTGAGGATTAACTGATAGGACTTAGGTAACAGGATTAGCACATAAGCCTCCATGAAAAAGAGCTGGTTACGGCTAGCTGTCCATTTTGCTTCACACATCTCAGCCTGGTGGGCAGGACTGCTGTGCACCTCCTTTTTAGATGTGCTGACCTTTCTACTCAGCAAGGAGAGAAGCAGCTGCTGGAGGGAGTGGAGGAAAGGTGGGATTTGAAGTCAGCAGCCTGACTCTGCCGCTTCCCACCTGCCTGCCTTGGGGCTGTCACCTTCTTTTAGAGTTCATGTCCTCCTCTGTAAAATTGGATAAACCGATATCCACCCCACGCCCACTCCACCCCATGTCCGCTCTCCTTTCTTCAGTTGTAAGGAATATTGGCATAACCCAGGGGACATGGAGCTGTGGCTCACATGACCAGCGGGTGGGCTTGGGTTCTGCAGCGCTGTACACTCCTCAAAGCCCTTTCTCCTCCTCCATGAATTCAGTGGATCCTCAAGGCAATTCTGAGAGGGAGGCAGAGCAGAAGCCGTACAGCTGTGGTTCTAGCTCCCAGGCTGTAGACTGACCCAGAGAGGTTCAGGGGCATGCACAGAGTCACGTGGCCCTAAGCATCTCGGAGTGGTGGCGGGGGGCAGCTCTTGATGTGCTTGCCCCCAGCTCCTCGCTCCTCTTCAAGAGGCCAGGACCTGCTGGAGCAGGCGTGGCAGTTTCCACAATGGCTCAGCACCCTGTGGGGAGATGTGGGTGTCAGCAGAATGAGGCTGGGACTTTGTGTAAGTCGCCCCTCTGCTCTGAGCTGCTGCTGGATTCCTTCTACCTCTGACATTCTGTGACTCGGGGAACCAAGACCTGGGACAGTTCTGTCCAGGTACATCAGCACCAGAGCCCTTCTTAGTGGATAGCTGAGGGATTGCAAAGAGGTGCCCAGCAGGAGCCAGGCCTTATGGAAAAGGGACTTTGTGTGAAGGCGTTGGCCAGTAATAAGTTCACCTGAGCCATAGACACTCACAGAGCAAAAAGTAGGGCCAAACAACTTTTTGCTCTTTCCCAAGTCTGCTCTTTATTCTGAGGGTCAGAGAGGACAGAGACCCAGCATACGGAAGAAGGTGCCAGTTCTCTGGTCAAGGCCACTCAATGTCACATGTTCCTGGTTTGTTGCAGGTGGTAGCCTTGGCAGTTTCCCCCAGGCAAAATGAGCAGGCACAAACCCATTCAGTAAGTTGCCCCTTTCTGGGCTCCTCAGGGGTGAAGGGATTGGCCAGGTGACTTAAGCTCCCATTTTCAGGTTGTTTGCTGAGGACACGAGAGAACTATTGGGTCAGTGCCAATGGGATTCTGCCATCCCCACCTGTAAACAAACCCCTGTCGTTTCCACCCCAGCCCCAGGTTGAAAAGCTGGCATGTGAGAGTAGTGTGATCTGAACAGAGTGCACACCCTGCAACCCACACTTCCCTAGGCCAAGCCTCGTTCTCTCCAATGCCAGACTTATTTCAGTTGCAGTGGTGGTGCCTCATAGTGGCAAAGGACAGGCTGGTAAAACATGCTCATCTGCAAGTCCAGGCAACCTGTGCCCCACCTAGCCTCATAGAGGACAGCAGGTGGAAAAGGCTGCACTTGTGGGGAAATTGATGGACATAGCTGGATTTCTCACAAGCCCAACTCTAACTTCTTGCTTATATCTGCCCCCGACCTTTTTTTTTTTTTTTTTGCATTCTCCTTCCTTCTCTCAGTAGGACGCCTCGTCTAAGGAGCAGAAAACCCAAGGGCAGGTGGAGAGTCCAGGGAGGCAGGATGGATCACCAGACACCTAACCTTCAGCGTTGCCCATGGCCCTGCCACATCCCGTGTAACATAAGTGGTGCCCACCATGTTTGCACTTTTAATAACTCTTACTTGCGTGTTTTGTTTTTGGTTTCATTTTAAAACACCAATATCTAATACCACAGTGGGAAAAGGAAAGGGAAGAAAGACTTTATTCTCTCTCTTATTGTAAGTTTTTGGATCTGCTACTGACAACTTTTAGAGGGTTTTGGGGGGGTGGGGGAGGGTGTTGTTGGGGCTGAGAAGAAAGAGATTTATATGCTGTATATAAATATATATGTAAATTGTATAGTTCTTTTGTACAGGCATTGGCATTGCTGTTTGTTTATTTCTCTCCCTCTGCCTGCTGTGGGTGGTGGGCACTCTGGACACATAGTCCAGCTTTCTAAAATCCAGGACTCTATCCTGGGCCTACTAAACTTCTGTTTGGAGACTGACCCTTGTGTATAAAGACGGGAGTCCTGCAATTGTACTGCGGACTCCACGAGTTCTTTTCTGGTGGGAGGACTATATTGCCCCATGCCATTAGTTGTCAAAATTGATAAGTCACTTGGCTCTCGGCCTTGTCCAGGGAGGTTGGGCTAAGGAGAGATGGAAACTGCCCTGGGAGAGGAAGGGAGTCCAGATCCCATGAATAGCCCACACAGGTACCGGCTCTCAGAGGGTCCGTGCATTCCTGCTCTCCGGACCCCCAAAGGGCCCAGCATTGGTGGGTGCACCAGTATCTTAGTGACCCTCGGAGCAAATTATCCACAAAGGATTTGCATTACGTCACTCGAAACGTTTTCATCCATGCTTAGCATCTACTCTGTATAACGCATGAGAGGGGAGGCAAAGAAGAAAAAGACACACAGAAGGGCCTTTAAAAAAGTAGATATTTAATATCTAAGCAGGGGAGGGGACAGGACAGAAAGCCTGCACTGAGGGGTGCGGTGCCAACAGGGAAACTCTTCACCTCCCTGCAAACCTACCAGTGAGGCTCCCAGAGACGCAGCTGTCTCAGTGCCAGGGGCAGATTGGGTGTGACCTCTCCACTCCTCCATCTCCTGCTGTTGTCCTAGTGGCTATCACAGGCCTGGGTGGGTGGGTTGGGGGAGGTGTCAGTCACCTTGTTGGTAACACTAAAGTTGTTTTGTTGGTTTTTTAAAAACCCAATACTGAGGTTCTTCCTGTTCCCTCAAGTTTTCTTATGGGCTTCCAGGCTTTAAGCTAATTCCAGAAGTAAAACTGATCTTGGGTTTCCTATTCTGCCTCCCCTAGAAGGGCAGGGGTGATAACCCAGCTACAGGGAAATCCCGGCCCAGCTTTCCACAGGCATCACAGGCATCTTCCGCGGATTCTAGGGTGGGCTGCCCAGCCTTCTGGTCTGAGGCGCAGCTCCCTCTGCCCAGGTGCTGTGCCTATTCAAGTGGCCTTCAGGCAGAGCAGCAAGTGGCCCTTAGCGCCCCTTCCCATAAGCAGCTGTGGTGGCAGTGAGGGAGGTTGGGTAGCCCTGGACTGGTCCCCTCCTCAGATCACCCTTGCAAATCTGGCCTCATCTTGTATTCCAACCCGACATCCCTAAAAGTACCTCCACCCGTTCCGGGTCTGGAAGGCGTTGGCACCACAAGCACTGTCCCTGTGGGAGGAGCACAACCTTCTCGGGACAGGATCTGATGGGGTCTTGGGCTAAAGGAGGTCCCTGCTGTCCTGGAGAAAGTCCTAGAGGTTATCTCAGGAATGACTGGTGGCCCTGCCCCAACGTGGAAAGGTGGGAAGGAAGCCTTCTCCCATTAGCCCCAATGAGAGAACTCAACGTGCCGGAGCTGAGTGGGCCTTGCACGAGACACTGGCCCCACTTTCAGGCCTGGAGGAAGCATGCACACATGGAGACGGCGCCTGCCTGTAGATGTTTGGATCTTCGAGATCTCCCCAGGCATCTTGTCTCCCACAGGATCGTGTGTGTAGGTGGTGTTGTGTGGTTTTCCTTTGTGAAGGAGAGAGGGAAACTATTTGTAGCTTGTTTTATAAAAAATAAAAAATGGGTAAATCTTGGCGGCTGTTGCCTCTTTCTTTGGGTGGCTTCCTTTAATGAAAAGGCTTTATTTCCTAGAAAGCTTAGTTCGTTTCCCTGGCCTGGGTGCTCTCCACTTCCATCCAAGGACATCTGAGGTGCTGCCAATGATGAACCTAGCAGGGGACCCGGAAGTGGCCAGTGTGGTACTGCACCTAGAGAGGGGACTCCCTTGCTAAAGGTGTTTGTGCACTCTCTGTAATTCTTCCTCTTACCTCCACCCACATGTCTGCCCCACGGGATGCCCCTCCCTGACTGCCATTCCCTTCCTCTCACTGGAATGTAGGGAATGTTGCTGGCAGAGCTTTGGGGGCAGGGCTTGGGGAAGAGCCTATTCCATGGCTTCAGGCTGTTGAAAGTGGGTACATTGCCATCATCCAGATGACAAGACGCCAGGCTGAAATGTAGCCATAGGTGGGGAGCAGACCCCCAGTGGAGTTTTTCAGCCTGTACCCCAGTTTTGTGGGGTATCTATTCTGGCTGAGGCTGCAGGTCTGGTTTGCAGAGCTGGAGAACTCCCAGACGAGGATTGGCAGCAGGGGTGGAGATTCTAGGTTTTCTCCAGCGTGACCGGCCTCTTTGCCTTTTTCCCTGTGTGCACACACAGCTGTCCCTGGAAATGACCGCCTCAGCCATCCCCTTGGGAACCTTCTCCAGATTCCTTGTGCCACACTCTGCCCCCTTGTCTTTGCAGGTGAACAGAAGATAATTCCCCTTGTAAACCTCTCCTCCAGCCTTTGCTCCAGCTAGGCTTTCTTGCGACAGGGTCTAAGCCCCGGAATTTGATCACGCAGGCCACTCCTTGTCCAGGGCTTGTCCTTCCTTGCAGCTCAGAAGAGAGGACAGGTGGTTCACGGCACACTTACCGAGTGCCAGACACTGCGTGCTATGTATACAGGCCCTGTCGTATGTATGTAGTACCACAACCCAGTGACACAGGCGTCATTGTTCCTATTTCTCAAGTGTGGACTCAGACTCAAGAGTTCAGTGTCTTGCTGGGGTCACCCAGCTGGAAAGGCAGAGCAGGAATCATACTTAGATTTTCTGACTCCAGGCCTGGAGCTCTGCCTACTCCTCAGCTGCCTTCCTTGAAGGGTTAGAACTGCAACTGTCTCCTTCCTGTCCAGCTTGGGTCCTGGTGGGAGTTCCATCCAGCAGTGAGTGCATTTTTTCCCCAGAGCAGTTAAGGGTCTTATTAAAAGCCACCACTTTGCTGAGGCCTGTACAGGCCTTGGGGGTTTGGGGAAGAGAAATAAGGCAGGCACTTGTCCCTTCAGGGAGGGACTTGTCCCTCACTGGGAGGTTTGGGGTTGACCTTGGCTCCAGCAGAGATACCCAGCCTGGCGTGGAAGGGGCAGGTCTGAGCTTACGCTTGACTGCAGGGCAAGCTGCAGGCCTCTTCTGCCTTCCCCTGCATTCACCAAGGACAGTAGGACCAAGAGTCAAGGAAAAGTGCAAGATAGATCTATCCCATTTCTTCCTCCACCTGGAGATTCCTGAGCTATGCTCAGCCTCTGTGGGGCAGGGAAGACTGGGGACATTTTTAGTCAGGATGCTGAGAAGTAATTCCTGCTGGGGCCAGGCATCTTTTCAGGGCTGCTGTGATGCCAACAAAGAAGGGGCCCCAGGCCCATCCTTACTCCTGGTCCCCAAAAGGATCCAAGTGGGATGGGAAGCTGGCAGCACCAACCCACTTGTAGATTAACAACAACAACAAAACACCAACAAATAAAAAAAAGCAAAACAACAACAACAAAACAAAACAAAAACCAAAAACTAAAAAACCAAACCAAAACCAAAAAGCCCTGGATCACCAGGCTGTTCATCTGGCTATTTACTCCCAAGTTCCTGAAAGACCTGCAAGGCCACAGTTGTGCCCACCAAGGAGGCTGAAGACCTTCCCAGGCACCATGACCTTCTGGTCTGTGGTGTTAGGCCTTTTTCTACTACACAGGTGGAAATAGGTGAAGCTTGATCTTTTCATGCAGCACTGCCGAATCAAGCTCTCAACCCTAGGGCCTGGATCAACATTCCCCTTTGTGTGCCTTTCATGAGTTGATAAGGAAAAGGGCCATGACCTTGGTTCCATGCCTGCCTACTCCTGCAAGTGTCTGTGCTATGTATGGGGCACAAGTCTCTCTTGTCATTTCTCGTCAAGTCTTGGTGGGGCACTCTGGCCAATTCCTTCTATTCCTCTACGCCACCCCCAACCAACACCTCACCCAAGCAGCCCCTGCTCCCTCTCCTGCTCTGCACTGCCCCTTTTTCCTCTGTCAGGATGCACTCTGTGAAAGCTGTCTTGCCTGTATCCTCCTAGCCAGAGCGCTAACTCTAGCTACTGGTCGGTGGTCCTGTATGTAGTACCCCAGACCAGGCCTGTCTACAAGTCCAGGGCAACCCTGAGAATTCACACACTTGATGGTCACATGCACTGCATACTTGGATGTGGTCTCTCCACACAGTGATGGACACGTTGCTCAACTGCTCATAAGACTCAGTCAGGAGAGACCAGGATAAGCTTCAGTAAGTACACCCTTCCCAACCTCTCTGGCTCAAAACAGAAAGGTGTTTTTCTCACTGCTGCGACACAGCAGTGAGATAACAAGAGTAATGTACTCAGCACAGTGCCTGGTACAAAACTGGAGCTCAGTATCTGTCAGTCATCCTCCTCTTCCTCCTTATTTGTATCATCAGTGAGCGTTGGCACTGGGAGGAGCCTGAAAAATCACCTATTCTAATGGTTATACGTGAAAAATCTAAAATCTCAATAGATAGGCGGAGTGGCCATCTCCAGGTCAAATACTTTTAGCTTGTGACACAGCCAGAATTAGAATTCACTTCTGTCAACTCCTAATTTAGCATTCTTAATAGCAATTACTTTGCTATACATTTAAAGAGGCATACAGCATATATAGATGGAAAATTCCATTAAATGATGGAAAGAAGTGTGTCTACTGAGATGTTGAGTAGTTCACTGTATCAGATTCTAAAAAATGAGTTGTTTAGGGAAAGGTATAGTGAAATATACCTGACAAGGCAGTGAAATGAGGTAGAGATAGAGTGATGGGATGCACATGCCATTGCAAAAAGCATTATGATGCGGGCTGTATGATGGAGTTGTAACTTCTGGAGGAAAGCTAAAAATGGAGGAACAGATTAATATCAGCAGCAAAATCACATGGTCTGGCAGGAAAGTCAGGGCCAGTGGACAGAGAACCTACTACAGGAGTCTTCAGCCTGGTTTTGCTATGAACTAGCTGTGTGACCTTGAGCCATTGGCTTCACCTCTCTGGGCCTCCTTGGTGTTTTTGCCCAGGAGTTCTCACTGTATGTCAGACATTTTGCTAAGCCTGTTATCTCATGAAATAATTGCAACAACTCTATATGGTGTGCAGAAATCTCCTGCCTACCCCATCTGGAGCCATTCTTCCCCCTTCTTCACCTGCTGCGTGCTCTGCCTGGGGGACTAACTTTTATGCATGGCATCAATGGAGTTCTTGTGCTCTCTGGATGACCAGGAGTCCAGTGGGAGATGGGAGAGTGGGAGGGGAGGGAGGACAGGTGTTATTCTCTGTAAGGTTGCCTTGGGCTGGCTTTGTTTTTTGACTGAAAGGTATCACTCCTCTCTAAGAGGCCTATCTACCTGATTCTCTCTCCTTCTCAGTTCCTGAAACCTCTCCTCTCCTTCCACTTGGGCCTAGGAGGAAGCAAACTCATAAAGTGGAACTCTGGGTTTGGGCTGGTCATGAGCAGCTCAAGGACAACTTCCTTGATGAGGGCAAATGGGACCCAGGTAGTTCATGGTAAAGGGTGGCATCATCAATACTCAAATTATCACTGAATGGGGTAGAGAATAAAGTGGAGGGCAAGATGCTGGGGGATCAAGTGGTTCTAATGCTTTGTTCCTAGAGCAATTGCAGTATTTTCAAAAATTATGACATCACCTGATTATTTGCATGACTCTTGAGAACATACATGGGGGAAAAGACAAATTAAAAGCTATTAACATGCACAGGGAGAACTGGAAGTCCTCCCAGGAAACTTTAAAGGAGTCCCTCCTCTCCTATAGCTGCAGGGACCACAGGGATATGGACCAAGCCCAAGTTGCAGCATTAATTAAATGCTGGACCCCATTAGGACTCTTCAGGACATGAGTAGGGAAGGAGTAACACCAAATAACATATGACTTAACCTACCCATGTAGAACTGGGTACCTTTCCCAATAAATTATAAAATTGAACTTGCTCAGAAATATTTATTATAAAATGGAAGTGGTATGTATATAGGGAAAACAGCCCATTCATGTCAAGAAAGCACCAGTAACCTGCACAAACAGGCAGTTTTGACTCCTGTGGTAACTCCAGGTAACAGCTTTGCTGCCTTTCCCTCAACCACACATTGACTTCATGGGGAATTCCCTGTGACCAGTGAATAAATGAGAAAAAAGCATGAACCTAATTCTGCACAGCATGCCAGCACCAGCCAGAAGTGGACAGCGCCATCTATAGCCCTACTCACAGGAGACCCTCAAAGACTGTGGTGGATGGAAATTTTCCCAGTGGACAGAACTTCAGGCAGTACATTGAACTGTCCACTTGGGCCTGAATCATGGATCTACACCAACTCATGCAGTGGATGATGAGTGACTGGCTCATTGAGGACTTGAAGCTAATTGGTGGCAAGAAAAATTAGGAATTTAGGAATTCCATGTATGGAATGGGCCCCATAGTGTGAAGATATAGTGCCCCATACAAATGCCTATCAGAGAGCAACCATGGTGGTAGATGTTCTCAATATGACTCATGCTGTCGTTAATATTAGTTGGCCCCTCTCCCTAGCCACCCTGATGCTGGCTCAGTGGATCCATGAACAAAATGGCATGCCAACAGGGATGGAGGCTGTACTTGGACTCAACAGCCTGGCTGTCCTCTCACCAAGGCCCATTTGGCTACTGCCACTGATGAGTGTATGACCTGCTCAAAGCAGAAGCAACGGATGAGCCATTGACATGGTAATATCTCCCAGGAAGGCCAGCAGGTTATACAGTGTCAGATTGATTTCCTTGGACAATTGCCATTATAGAAAATGTAGCAGTCAGTCTCTTCACAGAGGATAGACTCATATTCTGGGTATGAATTTGCCTTTCTTGCCCATAGTGTTTCTGCTAGCATGTCCATTTATGGACTTTGAATGTTTTATCCATTGCAGTGATATCTTTCACAACATTGTCTTACCAGGGTCACTGGTCTTACCACTTTTCCTATTACCCAAAAGTGGAATGACCTGATTCAGGCTCAATTACAGCATCACGTAGAAGATAATACCTTGTGATATTAAGATGCTATCATACTGAATGCAGTATATGCTGTAATTGGGGGCCAATATCTAGTGCAATCTATCCATAGATGGGATCATAGTTCTGGAGACTAAGGGGTAGAGATGGGTGATGCCTCTCATTATTATGCCTAATAACCTACATGAAGAATCTTACTTTCTGTTTCTATAGCTTTGGTCTCAGCAGGTTTGGAAGTCCCAGTGACAATGGAGAAATGCTTGCACCAAGGAAGAGTTCTGGTTCTGATGAATTAGAAGTAGATACTGCCTCCTAGTCATTTTGGGTTCATTGAACTGGTGAGACGAATGTCCTAATTACCTGGGGGAAATAGGGTTGCTGTTGCATAATGAGAATATGAAGGACTGGGTTTGCAATGTAGGAATTCATCTGATGTACCTTTTCATACTCCCTTGCCCAAAAGTACTGGTCAACGGAAAACTGAGCAACATGCCAATAATTCAAATCTTGTGGGAATGAAAGTTTGGGTTATCCTACCAAGGAAAGAACCTCATGTAACTGAGATGCTAGCTAAGAGTAACAGGATATGGAATGGCTGGAAAATATGGCAGCACAACAGAGTAGAATTTGCATGTAGACATTCCATCTCTTACTAGCTCTGTAAGACTCAATATTTTAGGGTGACAAACTGTCCCAATTTTCCAGGACTGAGAGATTTCCTGGGACACAGGACTTTCAGTGCTAAAACCAGGAAAGTCCTGGGCAAACCAGACAAGTTATTCTACTTATGATTTGTGCTTTCTTCTTCACCACCCTGACAGTAAATAATAACTATCTTACCTACCTAGCAGGTGCATGTGAAGATAATGGTCACTCTAGATATTAAGCCCAGCTCTGCCACTTACTTGTGGAATGGCCTTGGACAGATGACATAACTTCTCACAAAGCTTCACTCCCTTCTTCAGGCCCACCATTATCTGACTTACTTATTAGCATTAATGAACTCCTTTGGCCTGCCGCCTCTTCTATGTCACCCTTTCTTTGACACCAAACATGTCTGTCTCTCTTCTCCACTGTGTCTAAAGGCTCACATGACTTGGAGGTCCTGGTGTCCCTTGACCATCTCTCCAAATCGTAATACTCAAGTTTAACATTTCTAGGGTGTATGGAAGGTGCTAAACCCTATGGCAATTGACTTGAGAATGGTTTCTTTAATCGTTGCAACACTGTATTTTGGGTTTAGGGACACTGAAGCTCAGGGAGGCAGTCAATTGCTTAAAATTCCACAACGGGTAAAAATAGTAGAGCTGGGCTTCAAACCCCACAGAACGCTGGAGGCAAGCATCAACATGCAAAGGCAAAAATGCAATACCTCAAGCCTTGGTCCATAGCAGGTGTCATGTGTACAAATGGCTTCAGGACTGGACTGGTCACATGAATAAGAGATGTGGATTGGGTAGGAACTCTGGTAAACTGAGAGAGTAAACGCTGTGTACATAGATAGGGTGGCCACTTAGTAGTGCCACTGGATTTGTTGCCTCACAGGAATGCCTACCCAGTGTGGCCAGAGAAGCCAAAATCCAGATTTTTACACAACATGTTTCTGTTTCAAAACACTGAGAACTATTCCAGGTTTGAAAAAGCACTGTAAGAATCAAACACATCAAGTCTGCTGGCCACCAGGTTTTAATGTCTGCCCCACAGTCCCACAGTCATGGAAGGAGAAATTGATTGAGTGAGGACTCAGCCAGAGGTGATGATCATAGCGAAAAAAAAAAAAAAAAGAATAGTTATCATGCACTGTAGAAGCAATCCCATTGATGTAATTTGCAGTTTGTAAACATGACAGAATGACTACCACTCCCGTTGTGTTTTTGCTGAGGTAGAAGCTAGAAAGAACTTGAGAAACAGCAGAAAGGACTAAGATTAGAAATCGGAATCTAAAGATTTGAGGTACCAGAATAGTTTACCTTGGGCTGCACCTCCTTTCCAGATTTTTAAGAAAGAATGATGCAATCCCATTTCTGGGAATATATTCAAAGGAAATGAAATCAGCATCTTGAAGAGGTATCTATATATGCATGTTCAATGCAGCATTCTTCACATTAGCCAAGATGTGGAAATAATCCAAGTGTCTGTTGATGGATGAATGAGTAGAGAAGTTGTAGTGTGTGTGTGTGTGTGTGTGTGTGTATGTGTATATGCACACACACAATATGCATATAATGGAGTATTATTTGGCCTTAAAAAAGAAAGAAATCCTGCCACTTGTGACAACATGGATGAAACTGGAAGACATTATGCTACGTGAAATAAGCCAGGCACAGAAAACACAACTACAGCATGATTTCACTCATATGTGGAATCTACAAAAGTTGGAACTCATAGACACAGAGTGTAGAAGGGTGGTTACCAGGGGATGGGTTGGGGAGAGAGGAAGCTGTTGCTCAAGGAGTACATACCTGAGGTTATAAGAGGAACAAGTTCTGGAGACCTAATGTCCAGCATGGTGACTATAGTTAATGATAATGTGTTGAGTACTTGAAATTTGCTAAGAGAGTAGATCCTAAGTATTCTCATCACAAAAAAGGGCAACTATATGAGGTGACAGATATACTAATCAGCTTGATTGTGGTGATCGTTTCACAATGTAAACAAATATCAAAACATTATTTTGTAGACCTCAAATATATATAATTTTTATTTGTTGGTTACACTTCAGTAAAAGTGTAAGAAAAAAGAAAAGAAAGAATAATGAATTGCCTTCAAGTTTACTAGTAAAGGCTGATCTTAGTTTTCGTAAAGTCAGTTTGACTTCCCTTCTCCTTTGTTCCTTCCTGAAAATGCCACAAATGCCATATGTCACACCTACCAGGGCCATGTTCCAGGAGTCTTTTTTGGATTCCCTTTCCCAAGAAGATGTCTTTTGAATCACCCCCTTCCTGGGGCCAGATGACTCTCCATTAGAAAATTGTAATCAGGCTCCTTAATCCAAATAGCTTTATCACAGTTAAATTTCTCTTTTGGAAATTTCCATCAGTCTGCCCTTGGCTTTTACTGGCACATCATCCATTCAGGTGCCCCCAGGGGAAGTGCCTCGCTTAGTAAGAATGGAGACAAAGGAGAGGAGAAGGGAACTGTGGGAGGGTGAGAGAACCAGTGCTGACTGGCTTCTCTCGCCTTCCCTCGCCTTCCCTCACCTTCCCCACCTGGACCCTGGCTGCCTCTCTAGGGAACTCTGTCTCGCTGGCTAGATCCAGCTTCCTCTAAGTCTCATTCTTTGTTCTGGTGTTTGTCACAAGGGTTCATAATATTCTGGGAAGAGCTTGAATTTGGCATCAGAAGACCTGTGTTTGTGTCTGCCTCTTACTATCTGCTTTCTCCTGGGAAATCATCTAACCTCTCAGAACTTCGTTGATAAAATAAGAATATCTACCACTTGTGGTTCTTATCAGACTCAAACACATGTATATGAAAAGCTTTTTGTGAACCATGAAAACCCACATAGACATAGGTCAGATTGCTCTTGGCCATCGATAGTAAAAATATCTATCTTTAATCACAAAGGGAGTGTGGCAGAGGCAAACATTCAAACACATTTCATCCTTTTGTAGTATAGAATGGTCAATGGGAAGTGGCTGCCCCACAAGGATGATATCTCCCAGTCTACTTTGCTTGTGAGTGGGTTGAAGTGACCAGCTTTTACTAATACAAGAATATCAGCGAAAGTAATGAGTACTACTTCAAAATCAAGGTAGTCAGAAGTGTGTGTGTGCTTTTTCTAATTTTTGTGCCATCTACTGATAGATGAAAAACACTCCAGGGCCCCAGAGTCCGACAGAGTTACAAAATAGAAGGAAACAGAGTCCCTGAATCATCACATGGAAGAAAGCCACCTGCTGACCAAGAACATCTTTATTGGATTATTATGGGAGTGAGAAATAAACTTTTATTTTGATAAGGTATTGAAATATTGGGGTTTATTACAGCAGCTAACATGACCCTAGTGAAAAATGAGCCAAAGGGATGGGCATGTTGTGGCTCAATCAGTAAGAAGTGCTGAAAATGAACACGTGCACAATGGCTAACAATGTCTTCTTCATATTGAATAATACACAGGCCATAGGGCCAAGGAGTTGCAAAGGGGCATCTGCAATGGTGTGTCAATTAAGGTAGCCAGGCAGTTTGAGTGTGTGCATGCACGTGTGCGTGCATGTGTGCACACATGCACACACACTACTTTTGTATATATTCTAGGATCACAATATTAAAGCTAGAAGTAATTGACTTCAGAGGTCATTTATGAAAACCTCACTTTATAGTTCAGGAAATTGTGATCCAGGGAGACAATGCATCCAAAGAGAAGATGGATTGTTAGTGGGGGCATCTAAACTAGTACCCAGGGCTTCAGATTCCTGGGATGAATTCCTCAATTCTCCTCCTATGGTTCATTCCAGCTTCTGTTTTGACAAAGCCTAACACCTGGATAACCCAGAAAGGACTCAGAAAATGGGAGCGATGATGGACACAAATGGATTTTGTGATTTTGTGATTTTGCATCTACCATTTAATCTGCTAAAAGGTTTTTTTTTTTTTCATTTTTAATTTAGTGGCTGGCAAAAAACTGAATGAGGCTTTTAGTCCAACCATTTTTCCCTGCCTGCTTTTTGTGCTAATCTGTTTCACTCACAAATTCCATTGACATCTTGTTCTTAGCCTCCATGGTAGGAATTGTGTTCCTGATGCTGCTTTATCAGCCCCAATTTTGGCCATAAGTTTAAGCCCAGGACCCTACTGCAGACACCTTCTAAACCTCAGCAGAGGGCACAGTGGGGCCACAGGTAGGATCCACTTACCCTTAGCCTTCCTCTTGACCTCTATCCTAGCCATGCTTACTGCTGCCATTCCATGACTGTGCCGTGTCATGCTTTACCCTTGTGCCTTTGAATGTGCTGTTCACTTTTTGTCCATCCTTCAATATGAAGCCCCTCACCAAAGTAAATCATGATTTCATCTTCCTTCAAGATCCTACTTACCTGTTACATTCTCTGTGAAGTCTTTCCCAATTCTTCCAGGCTGAGTTAATGTTTCCTTCCATTGTGTTCCCATGGCATTCTGTTTAGGTCACTCTTAGAGTGTTCAGGGCATAGGACTGCCATTAGCATTTGCACTTTGGTGTCCACATGCATCATAAACCTCTTCCCATCACTTGGCTTTTAGAAGGGGCAATAGTACCTACAATGTGATCATCACCCTCCTCTCCACACCTGGGTTGTTTGTACCAGAAGTGAACATTTGACACAAAGCACCCAGTCCATAGGCACTGTGACTGCCTTCTACAAAGGATTCTGCCTTCTCAGAATGGCCCTCTGGAGATGGAGAGTTGACCATATTCTCTTGATAGAGAATTTGCACTCAGAGGAAAAGAGGGAAGTTCCAGTTCATTGTGGTGATCAAAGCTGTGAGGTCATGATATAGTGTCAGGGCTGGTGACTGTGCTGGGCTATGTGCAAGAAAATAAATCAGAGGAAGCACCTTGGGAGATAAAGGAAGAGGATGGGCCCAATGGGCAGAGGGAAGCAAGGGTGAGAGAGGCCAGGTGGCTTGGGGGAGGTAGGGAATGTGGGCTCAGTTCCTGATGGCTTTCAGGCTCCTACGGCCTGGCTGTGCCTCCTGCCTTGGGTTCCACAAGATCCTGCCACCAGGCCTTCGCAGTATTGCCCCTGTTCTTTGAACAAGTTTAGTGGGCTTCTTGATCACTTGCCCCATGTAGACTGTGAGTTCTTTTGTTTGTTTGTTTGTTTGTTTTGTTTTGTTTTAGAGAGAGTCTTGCTCTGTCGCCTAGGCTGGAGTGCAGTGGCACAATCTTGGCTCACTGCAACCTCTGCCTCCTGGGTTAAGCAATTATTGTGCCTCAGCCTCCTGAGTGACTGGGATTACAGGCATGTGCCACCATGCCTGGCTAACTTTTAAAAATTTTAGTAGAGCTGTTAGCCAGGCTTGTCTTGAACTCCTGGCCTCAAGCGATCCACCCACCTCAGCCTCCCAAAGTGCTGGGATTATAGGCATGAGCCACCATGCCCAGCCTAGACTGTGAGTTTCTTGAGGTCAGGAACTATGTCTTGCTCTTCTTTGTATCACCAGAGTGTCATTCAATATATTCAACATGCTCCTAAATTTTTTGTTGAATGAATGATGAGTAAATGAATGAGTGAAGACATGTCTGTTGGTAATAGGTGCAGGGCACTGTTTTCCTAGCTGGAGTCTGTCACGGCCAATGCCTTTCTGATACAGAAACCTCCTTCCTCCATAATTACCACAGCTTTTACTACTACTTACATCTTCCAACTTCGCAAAGTCCAGGTTTTGACAAGTGGCATTTTCCTGAAGTATTTTTGCTTAGAATATACTGGGTCTGACACATTGGCACCTGAGTGTGAGAGGAGGTGACACCTTCACCTGAGTCACGTCTCCTCACAAGAAGCCCACAGTGGCCCCCTGGACCTTTCACTGAAGAAACACAGGTAGAAGCAAGCTGTATGTAGAGAGATATAGTATAGCTTTTATTTTTTTTTTGAACCAACCCAACATTTCCACTGGCAACTGTCAACATAGCTTATGACATGAGCACTGTTTCTTTTTTAATTATTTTTTTCTTAAAAAATGTGTTTAAAATTAACAGGTGTTTTTTAATTTCTTCCCCCCCCCCCTTAGAAAATGTATTTATGTCAATGCAGAAAGCCTAAAGATCCGTGGGCAGTTTCGTGATGACATCTTATGTCTGTTTATTTGTGTGTTTGTGTGCGTGTTTTAAAGCCAGGTCCTTCCCACATTCGTTGAGAAAAGGTCTGTAGGGCACGGAGATCTCTTTCTCCAAAAACCCAGGCTCCAAGGGATTATGACAACTAAGATTCCTCTTACTGGAGCAAGAACTACCCCATAGGCTGGAAAAATAGCTTCATGAAGTTTAAGAACAAGCAGGAACATGGGAGAAATGAGGAATTCCAGTTCCTATCTTGTAAAAATGCTTTCATATGTGACCTGAGGGACCAGGAGAGGTGAAGGGAGCCCCTGGTTCTCTTATAAAATCTCTAAGTTTTTACACCACTTCAAGAAATATAGTCAGCCCTCTTTGTATAGAGCATTAGGAAGCAAGAGCGTGGTGAAGCTGACATTTCTCAGGCACATTGACATTTAAAATACAAACTTTTCTCTTAAAGATCTCACTGGTTGGACATCTCTTCTCTCCTGCCTCAGGTACAAAGCCAAAGATAATCAAGAAGGCCTGTATCCCTTTTGTTCTTCCAGTAGCCCTTTGTCGTCACACACCATTCCTATTTTTGTCCCATCTCTTCTATTTGGCGGGTCTTCCTGCAGAAGGATACACAAGTGGACACTGACACAACAAGACACACAGAATTGGAAAGGCTTGGGCAAAGAGGGACAATTGCTTTTTGTATCTGACTTGATTCAACATAAGCATAAAAAGCTCCTCCTGCTCCAGTTGAAGCTCCTGTAAGATCTTTAGTACCCTGCGTGGGTGAGTGAGCTTATTTCTACCCCAACACCATCACTCCTCCCAAGAACTCAGAGAAAACAGTGAGATGGGGAACTGGATCTTGATGGAGCCAAGAGGTGGCAGGAGAGCATGTGTCTAAAAATTCATGTTTCTCTCTGTTGGCTCGGACCTGGAATTCCTTTGTGGCACCTTTTTCACTCACTTCAGAAAAAAAAGACAAAACAAAATAATAAGCAAAACCTAATGGCAAAACGAAAGCAACCACAATAATGATTACAATGAAAAAAGAACCCCACCCCAGCCACATGAATGTGACTCATTTTCACGTCTTGTCAGCTGAGTGAGATAATAGGGACATATGGAATTGGGCAGAGAGGAGAAACCCTGCTTCCAAAGAAATGAGAGGCAAAGGAATAATCAAAAGATGGAATAGAAGGAGGCGAAAGGCTCTGACCTTTGCTTTGGGTCAGGGATATGAGGGGGAGATGGGGTGGAGGTGGATTTGTTGCTGTTGCTTGTTTGTATTCAATTAAATACTGTGTAAAGTCGGTGATTCCTCCATTGTTTGATTGATTAAGACTTTGCCCTTTCAGTTAATTGCCAGGGCCTAAGTTGGGTGAAGTTCCTGGGGCTTAGGTCCTGATGCTGCCTCTCCAGGGCAGTGCAGTCGGGAGAGATCACTGGTGGGGAAGTGCCCTTCTCTTAGGAGAAGTCCTAGGCCTGCCCTGCTGGAGGCTCTGTTGTGTGGCTTAGAACCCCTTGATGTAGCAATAGGCCTCTAGTGTGGCAAAGAGTATGTAGAGGAGCCACAGGCTCACAAAGAGCCATGTTGTGGCGAGCTTGCAGCCACGGGGGCCACCAAGCTCCCCTCCCAGGTGCGGCCGCCTTCGGTACAAGAGCACGCTGATGCAGACAAATGCAAAGATGGTGAAGAGGGTGACGGAGAAGGCCAGTGTGCCGGCCGACACGTGGAACTCCTGTCCCTGCAGAGCCCAGTAGATGGCGGCCACGGACCAGGCCAGGCCGATGCCCAGGAAGACATTGACGGCGTTGCTGCCCGTCACGTTGCCAATGGAGGCGTCTGCATATACATCCTGGAGGGCAGCAGCTTTGCTGGCAAACGTATCTGGAAAAGGACAAAGACACATGGGAACTGGTAGGAGGCTAAGGTGTGCAGGGCTTGTCTTCCAGTATGCCCAAAAAGCAGCTTGAGCTGGTGGGCTGAACCCAGGAATGAGAGACAAGGGCTAGGGGGCCACTCCTAACTCCTAGTTCTGCCGCAAGCAAGCCGTGTGGCCCTGGGTAGGTCACATCCCTAGTCTGGGCTTCCCATTCCTCATCTGCAGTGATCTGAAAGATTCTGAAGGGCTTTCCAGTTCTGATATTTACTGAGTGGGCTTATTGTTCTCCTTTGACTACTTTTTCAGTAAGGGAAGTTTGCCATCCCATAATATCTCCCCAGGGAACCTTGACACCCTGGGAAGCTGCTTGGAGTAGATGCCTGATTTTAACTGTCATATGGGGCATTTATTCACGAACCACCAACAGTTATTGAGCAATGCCTACTGATTGAGCACTGGGTGAGGTGCTGGATTTTGGGGACAGAGGACATGTTGGGGAACCATGATGGGGACATGCAGGGTGAACTGTGGACTCAAGGAAGACGGGGCTCTGTCTTTGTGGTTTATATATGTATCACAGGGCCTTGCAGGGTGTTTGACTTTAGATCTTGGCACAGATTGTAGATACAGGGAGGACTGTCAGAGACATCTAGCCCAATTCTTTTATTTTACAGGTAAGAAAAATAAGGGTCAAAGAATTTACCCAAGGTCACATAGGATGTTAGCAAGAGACTTGACCCTAAAGTCCTCATGTAAGGACCCTTTCCATACCTTCAACTATATCCAAAGAGCTTCAGCCAAAGCCACTAAATCAGATGAGTGGATCACAGGGTAACCTTCTTAAAGCCTCAAATGTTGTTAGCTGTTGTCTTGGCCAATTGCAAGGACTTGGAGATGCCCAAAGGTATCTGCCTGGCTTACCTCATTATTGCCATTTTTTTTAGATCTCCCAGAGAAAACCTCTTACCCTTTCTTGCCTATGGCCTTGTTTTTTTGTTTGTTTGTTTGTTTTTGTTTCTGTTGTTATTGTTGTTTTTTGCTTCTGATCCTCTGATATTTCTTCCCACCTCTATGCTTTCCCCCATATTTCCTCCCTCCCCTCTGATAGTTCAGGTCCCCCAAGGCTTGGAGAACAGAGATCACAGGGCATCTCATCCACAGGCCTTCCTGGGATCATCCATCTAATTTCCAACCTTCTGATGCATTTCCACGATAGCTAAATCTCTTGCATCACTAATGGACAAATAATACCGCTGGCCTGCGCTGGGGTTTTGGAAAGAGGTTTTCCTAGAATTTGATGTGAATTCAGCTACTCTCTTGAAGGATATGTTTGCTTGGTACAGGAAAGATTTCCCTTGGCCCAGCCAGAAAAGTCCTGTCTGATGAGATTCAGCCTAACTTCCCTGCAGGAGGATGTGCTCTGTTTCTTTCTGGGGCAACTGGGATGCCAGCTCCCTGGCAGAAGTTCAGAGTTCAGAGGCCCCAAAGCCCCTAACTGAATTAAGTAAAGAACCTGGGCTAGTGCAGCCCCTGTCTACCTGCTAACTCCTACATTCAGGCCCAACTTCCTTCCGTATGCAGTACCTTTTCTTTTTCTTCCTAGGATTTAACAAGATAACTTTAATTACAGTAGTTGAGAGTTGCCTCCTTCAGTAGATTATAAACTCCACGTGGAGAAGGAAGCATGTGTATCTTGCCTTTCACTATAGTCCCAAAAACTAGCACAATACTGTAACAGGCATAATAGGTGCTCAGTAAATATTTGTTCAATGAGTAAAGGAATGTCCGCTCCTTTCTGTTTGTCTCTGAGTGTTCCTAAGAAAAAGAAAGAGTATGTAATTCATCCTATAAAAAGATAAAAGCTGTGGAACTTCCTTTGGCTGTCCTGCTAGGAGATACTTTGTACTCACAGTGTCCTTCCAAGTAGAGGAGGCCAAGAATGTATGTGGGCATTTCTCCTTTGATATCTTTGAGCTGGCTAATCTTTAACCTCTCAGAGATCGCCAGAGGTAAATAGAAGGAGAACAATATCTACATTCTTTTAATTTCACTGTTTGTGGTCTACTCACATAATGTGGAGGTTAAGAAATTGGACCACTTACTTGGGCATGTAGCTTAACCTCTGTGGGCCTCAGTTTCTTTGTCTGTGAAGTGGGGATAATAACTTACCCTATTTAATAGGGCTTTGGGAAACATTACAGGGGGAAAATGTAAATGTGTAAATTGCTGAACACACATGGTGTCTGTCACATTGAAAGTGCTCAAGAAATATTAGCTGTCATTACTAATGTCATTATTCATCTCTTTGATTGACTTTTGTGCACTTTAAGGGCAGAGGCTCTGTTAAGTTCAGATCTGAGATGGTGTGGAAGATAATGAGATGGAGTCCAGGGGTCATTTGAACCAGGTAAAATCCTCTTTGCAAATTCAAGCACCTCTCACTCTCACCTGGGACAGAGGTGCCAAATGCCACGAAAACAACAGCTGTGACTGAATCTTTGAGACCAATGGTGCAGCCGAAGTGCGAGGCCAGGTCCCCAATGATGGCGGTGAGCATGCCAATGATGAGGATGGAGACGGCGAAGCAGGCCCAGCCGTGGCAGTACTCTGTGGGGGGCACACAGGCAAACAGCACCTTCCAGAAGACAGTCAGGAAGTGCATGACGTAGTCAAAGCAGGAGGGCAGCCTCTCCTCCCCGGATTCATCCTCATCCTCATCCCCTGCTGAAGGCAAGATAAACAGGCAAGAGAACGGGTAACGAAGTCAGATAATCATTCATGAGAAAGTCAAGCCCAACCCGCACCACAGGCATCATCCGCTAGAAGGGGACTCCAGCTGTCTTCTGGGCAGCTGGTGGGGGCCAGGGCCAGCGTGCCAGAAAATAGTGGGGAAACAATTTGGGCTGCCTCATAGGTCAATTTGAATGCAGGGCACCAAGGTAGAGTGGGAGAGAGAGGGCCAGGGAATAAGGAAGAGAAGAAAGAAGGAGATTAAGAGGGACAAGACAGTGGAGCAGAAAGAAAGGAGGATGCAAACCATCATTCTCAGCAAACTAACACAAGAACAGAAAACCAAACACTGCATGTTCTCACTCATAAGTGGGAGTTGAACAATGAGAACACATGGACACAGGGAGAGGAACATCACACACTGGAGCCTGTCAGGGGTGAGGGATAGGGGAGGGATAGCATTAGGAGAAATACCTAATGTAGATGACGGGTTGATGGGTGCAGCAAACCGCCATGGCACGTGTATACCTATGTAACAAAACTCTATGTTCTGCACATGTACCCCAGAACTTAATGTATAATTAAAAAAAAAAAGAAAGGAGAATGCACAGGCTGCATTTTGTTGTCTAAGGAGAGAAGTGAAATCAGTTCGGTGTGGCCACTCTTCACTGGATGCCAGCAGGGCTCCTCTCAAATTTTCTGACCTGACTGCTGCAATAACCATTGTGGTTCTGGTCATTATCTGTCCCCTGAGGGATGGCTGTCATTCCAGATCACGAGAATATACTGCAGAGCCAGTGCCCTCCTCCAAACATCTCATGGGAAAAAGCAGGATGGGCCTTGATTGTCCTTGCCAGGAAATGTGGGCAGAGTTGCCCACTCAGCAGCCCTGGAGGGGAGGGTATGCTGAGGCATGCCTGTGCCTTGCCAACGGCAACTTCTGTCATGTTTTGGCATAACCGGTAGAAGCTGGGGTTTGAAAGAACAGGAGTCAGAACACTTGGGTTCTCATTCCAGCTTTGCCATGAAGAAAATCTGTAAGCTGGGGTAAATCATCTCTTATTTCTGAACCTCAGTCCCCTCCTTTGTAAAAGGAGCAGGGTAGATGATGTGGCCTACATTCCGTTTATTGTCTTGAGGGGCACAGTCAGGTCATCAGAGGGGGAGCTAGAAAGATCTAAAGCAGGTGATGAGAAAAGTGGGGTAGCAGCAGCAGCAGCAGCAGCAAACCTCTCTTCCTGGCTGTCTTTTTGCTCTGGCTCTGGGGCCTTGGGGATATGACCCTGTGGGTTGCTATGACAACAAAGTCTCTCAATAAAAGACAAGGCCAGGAGGCCTCAGTGGTGCTGAGAGGTGATAGTGATGGTGGTTGGGAGACCTTTTCCGTCCCTGTTCCAACCAGCAGTCCCCTCAGGCTTCTAGGACTCCCGGCTGTGCTGTGGGTCACTACTGAGGGAGCCTGTCAGTAAATGCCGAGGGAGGGGTATGGAATCATCCAGAGTGTTTTGTTGGAGAGTCAATGCAACACATTTTATAAACTCCTAACTCCCACATCTCTAAATCAGAATTGTCCCACATTTTACAGAAGAGCGGGACCAAACCCATGAAAAGAAAGAATGACAGAAATCAGAATTTATTGAGTTTGGATTTTATACAAGACTCTGTACCTTTCTACTTTTCTGAGAAAGGTAGCAATAGTTCCCCTTTGGAAAGAGGACATTGAGGTCAGAGAGGGTACATTGTTCCAGTTCACACAGCAGAACAACGATTTGAAACCAGAGATAACCATGTTTTTCAGATACGCCATGATTCTTTTCCAAGCAGGCACCTAGGACCAGAGCTGGGAAGACTGAACACACAAGCCTTCCTAGGGACTGGCAGGCTGTTAACGTGGCTTTACGCTTCCTTCTCAGAGGTTGCCTGCTTCTCCCAGCAAGGCCAGCCTGAGACACTTCTCACCTGCACTGACGGTGATGGCCTCCATGAACTGGTCCCTCCAGGAATGGGTCCCCACAACCAAGGCCAGGTTTGTCTTCTTGATCAGTTTGTCCACCGTAGTCTGTTAAGAAGAGAAAAACTTGGAACCATGAGGTTAGAATGCTCAGAACCAATGAGGAGTCTGGTTCTTCAAAGGAATGAAAGATGCCCTGTCTCCAAGGTGTTCTGACAGTTACGCATGGAATGGCCTTGGGCGATCTCTTTTGAGGCAATCCTTCTATTTCCCTTTGTTTTTGGTTGTAATCTTTTTGTTTTGTTTTGTTTGAGACAGGGTCTCACTTTGTCACCCAGGCTGGAGTGCAGTGGTGCAATCATGGCTCATTGCAACCTCAACCTCCTGGGCTCAAGCCATCCTCCCACCTCAGCCTCCTGAGTAGCTGGGACCACAGGCATGTACAACCACACTGAGCTGATTTTTATTTTGTTTTATTTTTTATAGAGATGGAGTCTCCCTATGTTGCCCAGGCTGGTCTCAAATTCCTAGGTATAAGTGACCCTCCCATCTCGGCCTCTCAAAGTGCTGAGATTACAGGCGTGAGTCCCTCACTGCCTGGCCTGGTTGTGACTTTTGAAATTGGCTATTTAGAATAATACAATAATGAATAATAATAATGATGTTAATATATCTTGCCCTGTAGTAGTGAGTTTTAATATTTTTGCTTTAAAAACACAGTTAAACAATAATGATAATACATCTCAGGACTTTCTAGTCCACTTATTTCACATTCTATATTATGTTTCCTAACAATATTCCTAGCATACAAATGGTCAGCACTATTTGTTTCATGTTACAAATGGGGAAACTGAGACCTGGGGTGGGTAAGTGATTTGTTCAGTTTCAACTTCACATATTCACTAGTGAAAGTGGAAAAAAACACCCCAGGTCTTCTGCCTCCCACTTTAATTTATTTATTATTCAATTAGACCTCACTGTTTGCCTGACCTTGAACTCATAGGACTCTTCAATGATGACTTCTAGTTTGGGGTGTTCACCCAATACTGGCTTTCCCATCTCTGCTATCCTCTTGGCCTCCTCTTCTTCCATAGTCAGCTTCCTGTCTGTCACATCTGCAACAAAACAAAATCAGACTCGCTTTAACACCTTTTCCATTCCCTGGAAGGATACAGCTCAGAGTATTAGGCATGGGCAGTGGGTACAAAGCAAATAACTCTTGGGAATGGGGAGTTTATATATATTTTTAGTGCCTTTTTTATGAAGTACTAAACACTTTATAACCAGACCATGAGAATGTGCCTTGCAGACTGGGATAAGCGTTCCTCTTTCTCTTTTATACCTGGGTGGACAACCTGACCTAAACATCTCCTGAGAAATAGCATCAAGTGAAGTTCTCAAGACACTCAGTGAGATGTTGGGGAACTGGGAAGAAAGGGCAAGTGTTTTGACCTTGAACTATTTTGAACTTTTGGGCCTGTTTGTTCAACCACTTCCTGTAAGAGTTCTTGAAGGTGCAGAAGTACATTTATTCAAAGGAAATGTCTACTGGTTTCACAGCATCTTGACTCATTTACCAATGGTCCCTTCTCATGTTGAACAGTTTTTTTGTTTTTTGTTTTTCCACTTTGGCTGATGAGTCCATTTTAAGAGCACTTCTCCATGAAGACATGTTTTCTGGATTAGAGTGAAATAGAGATTGAATCTTTTTATTCCCCTTTAATTAGAAAATTGCTCTTGGCAGCTTGTTTCTTTCAGAGCTCATTTAAACATCTTCCCATCCAAGTCCACATTCTCACATGCAATTATTTCTTTTATTCAGCTCCTTAATTGCTTTCATTCCACACAGTAAACCTCCTAGGGGAATCCTGTAGTCCTTGGATAATCTCAAGGACAAAATGGGTCAGAGGCCAAGAAGGTCTTTTGTCTCTAGCTGGGGAATTGGTGAAGCAAGGGCAGTCGTGAGACTCCAACTCTCGAGTTTGCAAGGAAAGAAATTCACTGAAAAGACTATAAGCCAAGGGTTTAAATTACCAAGCAGACAGCCTTATATTTTATGTAAGAATTTTCTTAGTTGGACTGCATGAAGATGGTATGAGAGTGTGTGGAGACTTCCTGAGTTCGCTGTTTTGCTCAGTGTTCGGGCACCAAACACAGAAGGCAATCCTAAAATGTCTGGGAGCTGTCCGTGGTGCTGTCCTTCCTCTAGTGCTGGTGGCCACTTTTGGAAACAATGTTTTCTCAAGGATCCATGTCTTTCTGCATATGTCCAAGTCAGCAGACATCCTCTAGCAGCCTGACTTCATTTAGTCTATTGAATTTGAGTCTCTGATTAGTTAATTCTGAAGGTAAATCTGGGTGAATCTAGGGTTCTGGCTATAGGCCAGCAACCCTAGAAGCCAGACTGCAAGCTACTCTGGGAAAAAGCCCTTAGAAAAAGACACACAGATTCCATACTCTTTTCCTTTACTTGCAGGTTTAAGCACCATATCACAATGCCTATCTTAGCAGCGACAGTATTATTCCACTCCTTCCTCCCCAATTCCCCCATGTCATACTTTACATGTGACACAATAACTTTATACCAATATAATGAGCTCTCCAGTGACATATAAATGTACCTGTCTAACCCCTTGTCTACCTATCAATCTAGCACTATATCCATCTGGCAGGATATTGATCTACTTACTGACCTGTCCACCTCTGTGGTGACAGTCAGTTTTTCCATCTAGCTTTCTGCAAAAATCCCTTTGACAAATAACCAATCCTCTATCTTTGGATCTCCCACAGTCCCACAGAGGCTCTCTGTATATATTTGTTAATTGATTGAGTCACATGCCTTTAAGTTAATTCTAGTTTCTAGTTTCTCGGTTTGGCAATAATTCCTGCCTTTTTCTATTTTTGTCATGATCTTTCCTTTAAATTCAAATGTTGTTAATTTCTTGAGAGAATTATAAGTCTTCAATTTAGAGGACCATAGTGATTCTGATATCTTGTTTATGTGACTCCTCAGAATTTCAAGTAAAGAGAATAAATGGCAGGTGATCTAGATATTCAGACTGACTAAATAAACTCTCAGTTCTAGGAACAGGAAGAGAGGCTGGGAGGGGAGAGAAAGATAGAATATGAATAGGATGGAAGATTGAACAAATATTGGAAGGACAAAGAGCTTGCCAGGCCAGACAAGAATAGGATGTTGTGAACACTCTGCAGAGTGATGTAGCTAGTGCTCTTCCTGCAAGGCGCCTGAGCTTGGGGGTGGGGGGGTGGTTAGCTCAGAATGAACATATTCCCTCTGTCTCTGTCCACCTAGGAAAATTAAAACCAGTATTTGAGATTTCCAACGAATTGAAAGGCTAATCAGCGCTCCTAAATTAAAGGCTTACAGATTGAAAGAGCTAGGAAAAGAAACATTTCCTTTTTCCCATTTTAGCTTCTATTGATGTTTGCAAATATGTTAAAAGTAGAAAGAAACTTAAATTAAATCACAATCTTTGTTATGCATTTATGTGAGGGGGGGCGGGTGGAGGAAAGAGTTGGAACAAAGAAGCCTTACATACCTTCACAGGCAAGAGGATGAGTGAAGTAGAGAAGAAAAACCCAATGTTATGAAATCAATACCCTGGGAGAAGAATGAAGAACAGAGGGTTGAGGATAGCCCTTATTTTGTTGGTATAAAAAAGAAGCAAAAAGCCAAGGAAGCTGGAGTAACTGTGTTTTTTCCACAAAAGAAAAATGTAGGAGTTACCTACATTTTTTTTGTTTGTTTAAGGCTCCCAGAAGGCTTATGTCCTTACTATGTACACCGCCCCTTCCTGAACCCAAGATGTAGCCTGTAGGTGACTTTGAATATAAATGAACTCTGTAAGATGTTTTGCCTCTTAAGTGGCCTTAACATTTTTTTCTGTGTTCAAAGGACTGATGAAATGTAAGACGTTCTTTTAAAATATATTGAAACTGTCTTGTGTAGGCCACTCTGCTTGCACAAAGAGTTATAGTATTGCTAGATATGCTGAAAATGCTTTCATATCTGCTCATGAAGTTGAATGTTGTTTATGATTGGTTTCCACTCATGCAAGCATACTCTCAAAGTAGGTGTACGTCCTCTATAGCACCTAGATTCTGCATGAGAATCTCTTCAAAATAAATTCTCTAAAATTTATATTTCCAGCCAGAACACTGCCCCAATCCCCCATCCTAATTCATCTTGTTCACGGCACATAGGACTTTAAGGGTCAATGACAAATGAACCAAAATTCTAGCAATTTAAGTCTCAGCTGTGATGAGATGGAAGATCTCCAGGACTGGTAAAATTCCAGATTCTTTAAAAATTGCATTTCCTATTCTCACAACAGGTTTGGTTATTTCCTGGATCCCTTGGGATTAAAGTATTTTTTTTTCAAATCCTGTCACAATTATATTAGGAGATTCCAGCTCTGAATCTCACTGTCTCTTCCCCCACAACATGAGATGGCAGATGAATTAAGACTCAGGAGAAGTCTATGACCCACCATCTCCTTGTTAAGCTTAATTTCTCTTCCTGGTCCCAGAGAGGATCAGCTATGCCTTAACCCACGTCCCCAGACAGAAGTGATGCTCAAGGAATTGCCTTCCTCACAATTGCTTTCTCATAATTTCTTCATGTGGGAAAATAAATCTCCCAGTCCTTGGGAGAAATTGTCAGGTTAACTTGAGCCTGCAGTTCTTATTCAATAAATCAAAGGACATTGGTCTTAAACCAAATAATGGCACTGGCAAGAAGTGGAAAGAAAAGAGGGGGACAAGACACCTCTTACCTGGAGATAACAGGAGCGCTGTTTGCAAATGGATACCAGAAAAATGGAAGAAAGAAAAGGAAAGAGCATTAATGTCCCATCTTGAAAGTATCACCAGGTTTTGTGGTTGCTGGCAGCATAAGGAAAGCAGAGAGCTTAGTAGGTGAGAGCTCAGCAGCCATACGCAAAAAGAAGCCTTTGGAGCATGCACAGAGCAGCAGCAAGAGGTGTGAGCAGCCGGAGAGGCTGCTGAGCACCAGGGCCCTGGTAAGGGCATTTGCTCCTATGCTTTCCCGGCTACCCTAGGGCTAGGAATGGAGGAATGAGGATGGGGAACCAAATGGGTAGGTTGGTCACTCATGACTGTGTAGGATACCAGGTTATCACATCCATTCTGTAAAAAAAGGAGTGAGAATCCAGTTATCATGAAAACTGTGTAAGTTGCAACCCTGCCAGAGTAGCTAACTTATGAGTGGCAAAAATGACCATGGGGCTTGAATGGGAGCTCAAGGAAATGGGTAGCATTGTGCAAGAGTGGAACAGTGCCCAGGTCTATGTCTTCCATCCCTAACGACTTAGCTGAACTCATGCTCAGCTTCTCAGTGCTCATAAGGTTTCCATCACCACAAATGCCTTCCTAGCTGCCACGTTGACTAGAACTTTGATTTCCCCTAAAAGAATGACTTAGCAAAAAGGTAAGTCCTGCAGAATGTTTTCCTTGAATGGTTTGTCTTTACCGTAGATATATCCTGGAAGTTAGGGCTATGGGCTCCTCCCATTTTGTATCACCTCTGCTTAGCAAAGTCCCTGCATGTGGTAGTGTTCAATTAAGTTTGGCTGTTTGCTGTCTATTTTGGCAACTGTCTTTTCCATAGATCTCATAGATCTCTGGTTGGGTGATTTTTCTGTTTCAGAAAGGACAGGCTAAGTCAGAGTTCAGGTATTCTGGAACAGAGAAACTGTCATACCAACAGCTATACATAGATGAGAGATGACAAATGCAAGGTCCCTATGTGGATTGGGAAACTGAGTTAAAGACACACCCAATACAGGTTGTCTCTAGCCCTTGAATTTGTACTTATGCTGAACCCTCTTAGAGTTTAAGATCTAAGAATTAAGGAAACTTGTGACACACCACATTTTCATTTCTATGATATCTTAGTACAGCCCCTCACTCCTTGGCTCTCAGATAAAGGTCTGGGAAGAGCTTGCCACATATTCAACGTGTAGTTGGTGACTGATAGAGATTGCTGAGGAAGGAGTGTGTGTTGTGGGGGAACCAGGGGGGACATGTCTGTGAATCAATTTTTTTCCTAAGAATCTGTAGGAATGCAACTCAGGCCTGTGATCAATCATCCTATATTCACAGCCACTGAGATATATGTGGATCCAGAGTCTGCATGATACATAAACAAGGCAGTTCACTTTTTTAGGTATCTCCCATGTAGAATTCCAAAGGTTAATGGATCAATGGCTTTCCTCACTACATTGAGATAGATAGATATAGATAGGCAGATAGGTAGATAGATAGATAGATAGATAGATAGATAGATAGATAGATAGGCAAGAGCTTGTTTATTCTGCTCCTTCCGGGAGTTTGCGTGGAAGAGCTTCCCCCAAGTTCCAGGGGAGATCAGAGATCCCAGCACATAAATGAACACAGGTGGGTCAGACAAAGGCAGCTCTTCCAGAAAGGTCCCTGATGCCCTGGTTTTCACTCATACATGCCACCGAACATCTGGCCCATCCCTAGAGTAGTGAGAAGGCCTGCAGTTGGCTGGAATTCCATCATTCTCTGGTCATTGTCTCCATGAATCCAAGACTTTCTGCTCAGCAGTTATAGATGGGTCAGCAAGACCTGGGTAGGCCAGCTTTGACTGACACAATACCTCGAGGGTGTTTTTCCTGCTGCTGCTCATGAGAGAAGCTGGAGCTGAACTTTCCCCTGTATTGATCCCCTGGGTCAGGTGAGAGTCATTTATTCCTGCTCAGACACCCCAGGGACAAGCTGGAAAGAGCATAGGACTGTGAGTAATTAGGAAGCATCTGGGCAGCTTGTCAAGATGAGCCCACGGTTGTCGAAAAAGGAGGACCAAACAGGCCCCATTCTTCAGAGAGAGAGAGAGAGACAGAGAGCTTTCCTTTCTATCCGAAGGCTTCCAATGTCCAGGCCCAGGCCCAACAGTCTTGATTATGTTGCTCAGTGTTGCTCTCGGAAGTCCACTTCTAGACTCCAGAGCAACTGTGTTTCCTATTCAGTCTCCCTTTTTTCCTTCCCTTTTTTCCATCCCCCAGCTCATCCAGAGCTTTTAATCTCAACTCTGAAGTCTGTTTTGTTTGCCAAAAATAGAGTCTCCTATTTCAAATCCAGTCTCTCATTTTTTTAATGCAATTGTCATTTTGACCATGCAAAGACTATGCCATTCTGAATGTTTCAGACTCTCCCATGCAGTAGTGATAATGAAAAGCAATTTCCACTGTTCTGTTTCTCACTCTGAGAACAGCAGGGAATTCTGGAAATTTGGATGGGTTTCCATTTGCTTCTGAGTCTAGACAATCAGGTTTTATGACCTTTCACCTTATGGTCTAATGTCAAAATACGGGAAGTACTGAAGAAACTGGAAATTAACCGCCTAGAAAACATAGACAATAAAATAGGCAGCTGGAAAATTGACCAATTTCTTCTTGGCACTCTTCATCTTGGCATCTCGGTCACTGGGGAGATCTGGGGGCACACCACACAGATAGCTTGCTGAAATCCTTGTCTTCTCACCTACTCCCTCCACGAGGGCATTGCTGACATTTCCTTGGGCAAAGAATCTGTGCAAAACAGGAAGATGTCCTTAAATGGGGATTAGCCAAAGACATTTGCATTTGGTTAGGTCTCTTGAAGACTTATCTTGGGTCACTCTCTGTCCTGCTGTTGGTAGAGGTTTTAAGGGAGGCATAAGAGAAGAGCCTTTTTACTGGTGGAATAAAGGCATGTATGGACTTCCAATCTCTTCCTCTTGTCTGGAACCACTGCCTTCCTTCCTGTACGCTGTACATGTGCTGCTTTCGTTTGCATCTAAGTAGCTTGGACTGTGGAAACTGATGAAGGTGACTTACAATTGGCCTTGGGTATCTGCTGCTTCCAACCAATTATGAATACATGGAATAAATGCTCAAGGGAGGTGGGAATGAGGTAGGGCAGGTGCTGAGGCAACCTCTGAGAATATTGTTGGTGGCAAGAACTGGAAGTTGGGCAAGAATACAATGTGGGAAACAATAGAACCAGAGATAATTTCTTTCTTCCAGCACTTTTTGGCAGTCAGGCTGAGGGCAACGTTTTATTGAGTGGTGACGAAGAGAACCAGCAGTGAAGAAGGAGAGGAGTTCTGCCCCTAGAGCATCAGGTGTGTCCAAACCAGCGCAGGCACAGAAGTGGTCAGCTCTGCAGGAGAGTCCCCAGCAGACAATGAGAAATGACCAATCACACTGAGAAGGCCTGTAGAGAATCCTTTGGGAATGTTGTTGCTGAATCTCTTAGCTCTGTCCTCGTGTGGAAAGTTTTATGCTGCTCTTTGTCACATGAATATGAACTAATTGCAGTATGATCACCCCTTTTTGACAAACAGGTGGATTTCACTGCTTCATTTGCTAGGAGGCTCCCAGCAGCATATCTCTCCTGAATGGGAGTGTGAACGTCCTCTTGTTATTTCCCAGGAGCACCCTAACCCATTCCCACATCTATGCCTCCAAATGATTGGAAGCCATTCAAAGTAGTGGCTTCCAATCATTTTCTTCAAGGGAAGAAATCCTTCCTTACTTCTACCCTGGTTGCAACATAATCAGTCCTTTAGGGATGAGCCCCTGGCAGGTATTCTCAGATGCAGGTCCTGAGGAAAGCAGGAGATGAGGCCACTTCTCTAGTGTGGGATGAGGGCTATCTTGGGATCTGGGCGGTACTTTCTCTTGCAGATGCCAAGCAAAGGCAGACATCTGTGACCTTTCCAACACCTGTCTGTCAGGGATCAGCACCAACTGCATCATTTAGAGTCTCTTCTGTTGGAAAATCCACAAGTCAACACTCCAGGCCTGCCCAATGTCAGTCCTTTTCTGGGGCCCCTGGCTACGGGAATTTTCATACCTGGAACTATTTCCTTCCCTTCAGGAACTCTCAATTTTCTGCTTTAGAGGTTGCATTGTCCCAAAGTAGCCTGAATGAGGCACCCAACCTTGGGCTAGGAACATAGAATGGCATGGGGTGGGATGCCCAGAGGAGGAAGAATAGCTCAGAATTCCAGATTGCATGATTACCCCAGAAGTCAACTCTCTCTCTCAGAGCTCTCAGAAGCCGTGGCTTCTGACAATTGGTACACTTTCCCATGCCACGGTCTGCCCAACTGTGAAACAGCCAGAAAATACACTTACCTCCTCGAAGGGCAGAGGGGCCTATGGGCCACTCCACAAGTGAATAACCTGCCAAGCGTTCAAAGGAAGTTGGGGAATGCAGCAGAAAACTGTCAAAGCATCATTGCAACCCAGGCCCCAACCCCCATCCCAGACCCCCCCACATTCAATCCAGGCTAAAGAGTGAGGGGTGGCAGGGGAGGAAGGCAGGAAGGGGCACAGGCATGCATCGCATCACATTCCTTTTTTTTCTTCTCCTCCCCACCCACCAAGGAATTTTCACATTTACAGGTTACAGTGTAGGGGTGGGGTGGGGGAGAGTGCAGGGGCCCATGGCAATTGAATAATTGAAAATTGTAGCAAAACAGGGAAATAACTCATTAGGGTAATGAGGAGTTGAGGCTGCAGTGCTGCCCAGAAGGCGGTAAAGGAGGAATTTGGAATAAGCTAAGGCTAAGAAGGCAGAGATGATACCGAAACAGGGTGAGAGCGAGAATACAGGAGGGAAAAGAATAAAAAAATCCATTGGTCAAAAAGAGAAAGGAGGAGAAGGGAAGAAAAGGAGGGAGACAAAAATATAGCTGCTTTTTCTTTTTTGTTGTTGTTTTTCAGTTTGTTTTAATTTTTCTTTCTTTTTTTTTGTTGTTTTGTTTTTAAAGAATCTCACACCTGATATTCCACGTTCCATCCATTTCGGTTCACCAAGGGCAATGAAGAAATTCTCTTGCCTTTCGTATTCCTCCTCATCTACTATTTTAACCCTTATGGTTTTCCTGTAGGGACAACAAGAGAGAGAGTGTGTCGACTGGGTCGGTAGATTGGTTGGTCACCTGGAGCACAGCCTTTAAAATCATTCCCCGTCATTCCTGGCACATGCAGTCCAGTCCCACCATGGTGGCTTTCAACAGGACCATGGTGGATTGTGTTGTTCTCAGGTAATAAATGGTCTTAGTTTTTCTTGTCTTCTTGGTCATAGTTGTTCTTACGGGTGAGGGGGCAGGGAGCCAGGAGGCAAGGAAAGGTGGGCAAAGGAAGGGAGCCAGAAGGACAGAAGGGGAGGAGAAGGCAGAAGGCGGGTAATGGTGAGGAGGAGTCATTTTAGACCTTGCCAACAGTTAGTAGGAAGTGAGTCAGGCAGCACATTCCACTGGGTGTCACATGATAACAGTGGCATTTCTCTGGGCAACAGGTAAACTACTAACCCACTGGGAATAACCCAGGGTCTTCCCACAACAGGGAATATGTCAACAGAACCCAGGGCTTGTGTCCCTTCTTTATGTCTATACTCACTTCCATTGTGAGTTTCAGAAAGAAAATTTTAAAAGAAAAGTATTTATGAGGAAGGAAAACCAGACAGAGGAAGAGAAGAGAGAGAGAGAGAGAGAGTGAGAGAGAAAGAGAAAGAGAGAGAGAGAGAGAAGAAAGGGAGGTAGAATTGTGTGATCTTTCTCATTCTTTATCTCATAGGGCTTCAGTGGTGGGAACTAAAATAAATATGTATTAACCACAATATTACATAGGAATCCTTTACTATTTACAGCTGATGCATTTCTGGGAAAATGTGAAGAAAATGATGTAAATCATCAAATTCTAAATCACCTTTGGGCTTCTATCACTTAGGGGTGATGTGTTCCAAAACTGGTTTCCTCAATGTGAATTATCATGGGTCTGGGGCACAAGGTGATGGAAGTTTCTGTTCATCTCTGGGTATCTCAACAAAACATAACATCTTTTAAAAACAAGTCACCCAGGGAAGAAAACTTTCCTTGAAATTCACTGCCCTCCAAAGACTGGCTCTTTGTCATGTGGAGAGGTTGCCGTGTGGGCCTGATTCTTCCTATATGGTTTCTTCTGGTCCTTCATGGAATCACAATGGTGGCTAGCAGGTCCTACTAGTGAGCCAGAATTGTAATTTTCTGCTTTCTTTTTCTTTTTCTTTTTGGCGGGGGGCGGGGGGGAGATTGGGGGAGGGGAGGCTAAGAACTAAATGCTCTAAAGGGTAAAGAGCATTTACCTAAATGTCTCTTCAGATCCTCTGATGTTCCTGCTACCTTCTGTGGGCGTGCTCGGCTTTGCCATTTATAATGTAGTAGACTGACCCAAAGGGGCTTGTAGGGCACAGGACTTGCTGTGCATTTGTGGTGTGTGTACTTTACAAGTACAGTCACATGCTACATAAAAACGTTTTGCTCAATGACAGACCACATCTACAATAGTGGTCCCATAAGGCTATATACTACGATATTTTTACTGTGCCTTTTCTATGTCTAGATGTGTTTAGATACACAAATACCATTGTGCTACAGTTGCCTGCAATATTCAGTACAAGCACATGCTGTACAGGTTTGTAGCCTAGGAGCAATAGGCCCACATAGTCCAGGTGTGTTGTAGGCTACACCATCTAGGTTTGTGAAAGTACACTCTATAATTTTCCCACGATGACAAAATTGCTTAAGGACACCTTCCTCAGAATGTATCCTTATTGCTAAGTGATGCACGACTGTACATTTTTATTACCTTTTTGGGTACTTCTTTTGACATCTTTTTATACCTTGCTCAGCGGACAAAAGAGAAAGCTCATTGATTGTCAAGAGGCATTTTTTTGGGAATATTTCTGTTGGCCCTAGATATGGGACCCCAGGGCTGTCTACAAGGTGTGAGCCTGTTTCTCTGCTGCAGGAACTCTGCTGTGGGATGGGATTGGGGTGCTCTGTGACAACAGGCATGTACTGGAGGGCATGAGGGACAGCTTGGAAGGGGAAGGAACATTGCCCTCAGTACTGGCAGCTCCCTGCTCCACAGTATGATCTATTCAGGAAAGGACTTCTTGACTTGTCTATTGGAGGCCATGGGATGTATGGGGTCATTGAAGTTGAAGGCAAAGATTCCATCCACTCTGAGAAGCCCCATGGACCTCTTGGGGAAGCTTCCATTTGGGTCAGGATGATCTCCACCACTATTCTAACTCTCTGCCTCCACACCTGGGTGTTCTTAATAGGAAAAACATAGGAAGACAAATGGATATTTGACCTAGATCTGGAACTCAAACCTGTACTTTCAGCTTCCTCAAGGTCAGGAGGAGAAACAAGTCTTGATAGTAGCAACATGGCAGATAAGGTGGCTCCTAAAGCCTGCTTTTGGGAGGGGAATGAACTGTAATCCAAATACATTGATTCTCAACTTCCTGGGACTCTAAGTTTAGCCCTGAGAATAACTGCCCCATGGAAATTTGTGCTGAAAGCCTGTTTCTCAGTGCTGCTCTTCTGTCTGGTGCTGGGCTATGTGGTCCCTTTTCCCCCCTTTATGCCCAGCCATTCTGGAGAAGCCAAGAGCCGCACATGATACTCCAGCATTTTGGCTCTTTCTTTCCCCATACTCATTTCCTTATCCCAGAACAATTACCATCGGTCTTGAGCATCCCTCGTATGGATGCCATGTGTCAGGCTGGCAGGTGTTAGGACAGAGCTGGGGGCAGAGAGAGGACAGAGGAGAGGGAGGAGTGAAAAGAGAGCAGGAGAGAGAGCAAGAGAGGAGACAAGGGAAAGGGAACCAGAGAGGTGGAAGACAAGAGGAGGAGGAGACAAATGGGTTGGAGAGGAAGAAACAGAAGAGGAGAGAAGAATGTTAGTGTTAGTGTGGAGGACAGGGTACTACACCTTTCTGAAAACTCATATCCACCATGCGGGGGCCCATCATCTCAATGAAGTAATTCTTGTTTTTCTCATATGCCTCATCATCAATTACCTTGATGTGAATTGTTTTGCTGTGGATGGAAAAATAAGTATCATAAGCAAGGAGTAGAGTGTAGGACAAGTCAGCCAGCAGACAAAAACGGGAAGAGAAGGAAACAGTTAAAAGATTCAGAAAGATCCAAGTTTGCCCCAACACCACAGGGGCACGGAGGAGAGTGGCTGCCAGTGGACCCCTCCAGCCTCACTGGGCTCCTCCTGGGCTTTGTGCTGCTTCATGGCATGATCATATTTGAAGACTGAAAAGAAAGAGCTCAAGCTTCACAGCCGAGGGCTCTGAGTTCTAATCCTGGATAGGCTGTGTAATCTTGGATACATAATTTAACTGATAAACAAACAGGATGAATCATGCTTACAGCATCCCAGGGCAGTTATGAGAGCAATGAAATAACATACACATAAAGGCTCGGCCACTAAGGTCCTCCCATGTTTGCTTCCTTATCAGTCTTGCTTTTGAGACAAGGGAAAATTTTTGCAATCAGCTGACGTTGATCCAAATGGTTTATTTCATGAAAGCAGAAAGGGACAAACTGGTTTGTGGAAATCTTGCCCAGAAATAGTAGAACTTCTCTTTTTCTGTATGGCAGTGACTATTCTATGGGAGCCGGCGGGAGGGTTGGGTCGGGGGTGGTGGTGGCGGCGGCGGGGATGCTGGGGGGAAATTTGGCTCATGTCACACATTCTGGCAATTCACAGAGGGCCTGAAAAGCTACTGACACTATCTCCAAACAGGCTTCTGCAGTCACAGGGATGAGCCAGCTGGATCACATTAACTCTAGGGCTCTCAGAATCACGATTCCTTTCTCAGTCCTACGATGATTTTGTGGCTAGCACAATTATATTGCTTTTCATGTTAAAAGGTGTTAGTTTGTTAATATAAACATTTAAAAATACATGCCAATTTTAGTCACCCTGTTCTGCATTTCTTCTTCTTTTTTTCTTCCTTCATTTATTTATTTATTGGAGCTTTAAAAACAGATGTAGACCTGGGCCTCTCCAGATGGTTGCTTACTGCAGGGACATTTTGGGACCATTTCCCAGGGAAGATGTTTAGACCTCTCCCGGTGGGTGTGAGACACTGCTAGGTGGGTGGGTGTGGAACTGGGTCTCCCCTCAGTTGTGGGAGTGAGGAGGCCTGAGCAGGAGCCCTGGGCAGTGGCCATGGGCCTGCACCCTTTGAGACTCTGCTACCCCACAGCCTGGCTTTGTTGGAGGAGACTGAGGCCTTCAGTCTCCTTTTTTTCTTTTTTATAAAATAGGAATCTTTACATTCTAAATGGGTACAACCTCCCTGCCCTCCTGAGCTTCCCCAAGTCACCATTAGAGCTTTGGATGTCTACAGAGCCTGCAGTGTCCATATTGTTGATCCTGCAGAATCAGATCTGGTCCTTTGCTCCTGAAGTGAATGCAACAGCAGTTACCAAGACACCTGGTCCCTGCCACCCCACCACATGAACTCCAAACCCTCATCACTTGCCACACCCACCCCAGTCATGGAAAAGCGTGGCTGGCTACCGTAGAAAGCCCGTGGCTCTTCAACTTGTGAAAGGCCATGATGCTCTGGCCTTCCTTCTTCCAGGTAATGGAGACAGATGAGCTGGATTCAAATCCCGCCTCCACCCCTCACTAGCTGGGTGACCTTGGGCAATGCTCTAAAGTTCTTCAAGTCTCACGTGTAAGGTCAAATAATAGCACCTACTTTGTGATGTTCTTAAATGAAATAATTTATATGAATTTCTGGGCAGGGTTTGTGTTCCCTATTAAAAGTTTCATAAATAGCAACCATTATCACTAAGAGTAACAACAATCCCAGTTTGGTGGTTTGAGAGTCATATGTAAGGGAAGCTTATCATCTTCAGTCATTAATTCAGAAAACTAGGGAAACTCAATAAGTACAGGTGGTGACCCAAGGGGTGGTTGAAGCTGGAAATAGAAATCAGGTCATGAAAGGTTTGGATGAAACAGTATGATAAATCCTAAATGGGCTATTAGAGGGGGTTGGAATGTTAAGGGTGGTAACAGAGAGATTTCTCTCAAAATCTAGTCTGTGCCCCCATCAGCAACAAGCTCTGGGCTGGACAGACAACATGTCATGTGACATAGCATGGCTCGTGCTGTTTTGATTGACATCTTAGGTGGGGACAAGAGAAATAAGGACAGGCGTTAACTAGTGGCAAGAGTAACTTAGGTTAGCCAGCCAGAACCACCATCAGAGCAAGGAATGAATGGAGGAGGCAGGGTATAGGATTCTCCCATTGAGATCATTCCCAGGGAGGGCATCACTGTTGGGACTTATGGTATTACCTTGCCTGGAGGCTAGAAAAATCCCTTCCAGCTCTTGAA